>NC_000014.9:70975349-71126864 GCF_000001405.40 Homo sapiens
ACTTATCTTGAAAACTTTAAAATGTAAAATAAAGTGTAATTGGACATTTATACACTATAATTTTTATGGTACACTCCAGAGGCTATCCGTGAATTTTTAATTAATTAATCATAGCTAAATCTACATTTAGATTTTTAAAGATTACATAAACATTTTTAATAACTCATTCCTTTCTTTTAATCTTAGGGGGAAATGTCTGCTTTGGTCATTGAGATTCTACTGGGAAGACTCAGATTTACTATAGAATCTGTTATTTTACTTTGTCTATCCAGCTATGACAAGACAATAATTTTTCTTTTTATTGAACTAACAGCAGGTTCAGATGTCCTTGTCTGTCAAAACATATATTTAAAAATCAGCTATTTTGCAGTTTGGTTGTCAAGCTATATTCCAAGATAAATTACAATGTAGGTAGGTAGGTAGATACATTGATTTATATCTATATTTACATTTGTATATCTAGTATGTATGATAAGTCACTAATCACTGGTCTGGATGGAGGGTTAAAGCAGTGGTCTTACAGATACAAGAAGGTAAGTATTTTTTTCATGAAGTATTTTTTAATTGCTATACCAATAATGAAAGATAAAATGCAGTATTTTGCTCTGTAATTATTGCTGTTTTTACCATTCTGAACAGCAAGAGGATGTCTTACATCATTATATCTTGTTTAGGCATTGGTCAGCCTATTTTCGTTTGTTTGTTTCTGATTACTCTAGGTTTTCTTGATTTGTGAAATAATCGTATTAGCTTTTTGAAAGGATTTTAATATTGTGTTAGTAAGGTAGAATAATGATAGCCATCTTTAATTGTGACGGCATTGTGTCAAGCAATATATGTCATTAACTCAGTTATTCCTTGCCTGTGACTCAGTGAAGTTGATGTCCCATTTTGCAGATGAGGAAACAGATTTACAGGGGGGTAACCCAAAGTTACCAAGTTAGTAAGTTGGAGATAGAGCTTGCATAGAAATCCAGGCCTATTTTAAGTATAGTCCTTTGTTGCTCTTTCTTTCTTTCTTTCTTTTTTTTTTTTTTTTTTGAGACAGAGTCCTGCTCTTTTGCCCAGGCTGGAGTGCAGTGGTACGATCTCGGCTCACTGCATGCTCCGCCTCCTGGGTTCACACCATTCTCCTGCCTCAGCCTCCGGAGAAGCTGGGACTACAGGCGCTCGCCACCACGCCCGGCTAATTTTTTTGTATTTTTAGTAGAGACGGAGTTTCACAGTGTTAGCCAGGATGGTCTTGATCTCCTGACCTTGTGATCCACCCACCTTGGCCTCCCAAAGTGCTGGGATTACAAGCGTGAGCCACTGCGCCCGGCCCCTTTGTTTCCTCTTAATTTTATTGTTGATAGTCTATACAACTCTTTCTGAGGCCAGTTGAAGAACTCAAAGATTTGGAAGTTCAGTTCATTTCGTGAGTAGAATGCTTTCTTTGTGCAGCTGTGAAACAGAAAGCAGCTCTTTGGAGAACTACTTGAGAAATTATTTATACTTGATTTACTGTATGCAGTGAATTCTTTCCATTGTTAAACAGTAGAAAAGCAGATCATACATTTATTTTAACATTTCAAAATATGTGTTTGAAACAGATTTGGCAGCTGATCGGAAGCTCTTTCGTCTTGTCTCCAATGACTCCTTCATCTCTATTCAGCCTTCCTTATCCTCTTGTGGACAGGACTTGCCAAGGGACTTCAGTGACAAAGTGAACCTGCCAAGTCATAACCACCACCACCATGTTGATCAGTCTCTGTCCAGCGCCTGTGACACAGAAGTAGCTTCTCTTGTACCTTTACACTCACACTCTTATAGAAAAGACCACCGGCCGCGAGGTGTACCACGGACTTCTAGCTCTGCTGTGGCTTTTCCAGACACTTCACTGAATGATTTTCCCCTTTATCAGCAAAGACGTGGATTAGATCCAGTTAGTGAGTTAGAATCTTCCAAGCCTCTTTCTGGATCCAAAGAATCCTTGGTGGAAAATTCTGGTTTATCTGGGGAATTTCAGCTTGCTGGTGACTTGAAAATCAATACTTCTCAGCCACCCACAAAAAGTGGGAAGAGCAAACCTTTGAAAGCAGAGAAAAGCATGGACAGCTTGAGGAGCCTGAGCACACGGAGTAGTGGGTCAACAGAAAGCTACTGCAGTGGAACGGACCGGGACACTAACAGTACTGTCAGCAGCTATAAAAGTGAGCAGACCAGCTCAACTCACATAGAGAGCATCCTGTCAGAGCATGAGGAGTCTCCTAAAGCAGGAACAAAAAGTGGGAGGAAGAAAGAGTGCTGTGCAGGCCCAGAGGAGAAGAATAGCTGTGCCAGTGACAAAAGGACTAGCAGTGAAAAGATTGCTATGGAAGCGAGTACCAACAGTGGGGTTCACGAGGCCAAGGACCCCACCCCCTCTGATGAGATGCACAACCAGAGAGGTCTCAGCACCTCTGCATCTGAAGAAGCCAATAAAAATCCCCATGCAAATGAATTTACTTCCCAAGGGGACAGACCACCTGGGAACACTGCAGAAAACAAAGAAGAGAAGAGTGATAAGTCAGCTGTTTCTGTGGATTCCAAAGTGCGTAAAGATGTTGGTGGAAAGCAAAAGGAAGGGGATGTTCGACCTAAATCTTCTAGCGTAATCCATCGGACAGCTTCTGCCCACAAGTCAGGCAGGAGACGCACAGGAAAAAAACGGGCTAGCAGTTTTGATTCAAGCCGGCATAGGGACTATGTTTGCTTTCGAGGTGTTTCTGGTACCAAGCCACACAGTGCTATATTTTGTCATGACGAAGACTCTAGTGATCAGAGTGACTTGAGTAGAGCATCAAGTGTTCAGTCTGCTCACCAGTTCAGCAGTGATAGCTCTTCTAGCACCACTTCTCATTCCTGTCAGTCTCCTGAGGGCAGATACAGTGCTCTAAAGACCAAACACACTCATAAAGAAAGGGGCACAGACTCTGAACACACACACAAAGCTCATTTGGTTCCTGAAGGAACCAGCAAAAAGCGTGCAACACGACGGACTTCTAGCACAAATAGTGCCAAGACTCGTGCCCGAGTGTTGAGCCTGGACAGTGGCACAGTAGCATGTTTGAATGACTCAAACAGGTTAATGGCACCTGAAAGTATAAAGCCCTTAACCACTTCAAAATCAGATCTTGAGGCCAAAGAGGGAGAGGTGCTAGATGAGCTATCTTTATTAGGACGGGCTTCCCAGTTAGAGACAGTCACTCGATCTAGGAATAGCTTGCCAAACCAGGTTGCATTTCCTGAAGGGGAAGAGCAAGATGCAGTCAGTGGAGGTAAGTAAACTGTAAGAAGAGATTTCTGTAAGACTCACTGCTTTTTCATACTATTAATTAGAGTAGTACTTACTAAAATATGCTTCTGTTAATATTCCCCCTTCCACTGTGTTATTAAAATAAGCTTTCTTGAATGAAGAAGTAGGTGATTATCTTAGAAAAGGTTTTGGTATGAACACCAAGAACATATTTTTTGGTTGCAATACTTGAATACGTCAATTTGTTCTTGATGGTGTCAAGAACACCAGTTTCTAAGCCAGTTGCCACCTGTTAATGTTTTGCTGGGAATAACAAAAATTAGCCCTCTTCCTTTGTATAGCAATAGCAACAATAAAATATATAATTATTTAAGGGCACCAAACCAGTTTTAATCAACTCTTATACAGTATATGACACTGAACTTTCAAAATTAGATCACTCAGCCTATTATATAAGAGTTTTACAAATATTACTTTAGATCTGATTATGTACATTGAGAATTGTGGCTCTTTTTTTAAGTCTGTATCTTTGGTTTTATTTCTTGCTTACTCAAGTTTTAGGCGTTACGAAAATACTATTTTTTTCTATAATTTCACACATTATTCTTAAAGTTTATTAAATTCAGATTTGTAGTTTATATTGACATTTGGTATCCATTAATTGATGTAAGATGCCCCCATAATAACAGTGATGGTGTTCTGGTTAAAGTAATAGCTTATTTATTTCAGGTTTTTGGAGAATTGTGCAAATTTGGATAGGTGATTTTATATTCTGTCAGTGTGTGTTGGCCTCTTTATTTCAGAGTTATTTCTTGCTGTGTTCTTCTGCCCAAGATAGTTTGTTTATTTGGTTCTGGTTTTTATGGAATCTGCTTCTTGAATAGAATCAGAAAAATCAGGTCTTTTGTTGTTAGTACCTTAGCATTTTTAGCCTCTACCCCTATTCCCTTTATTTATGCTTGTATCATTAGTTTTAAAGTTATAGTCTGTTTGATACAGTAATGTTCAGTCATTTATTAAAAGTTAAGCTGGATTTTGTTTGTACAAACATTATGAAACATATGAATATATGCTTTTTCTCAAAGATGTTAATTTCACCCGAAGTATTTTAAAAGTCCATATTGTGGTAAACATTTTCTTAGATTTTTTTGGGGGTCAAGTTTCTAGCCAGATTAATTTCTAATGGGAACGTAAAGAAATTTTCTAGTACCTAAAGAAGAATATAGTTTATCAAACCTAAATATTGAGAACTAATTATATCTGAAGTGGTTATAACCATTTGGTGACAGTAGAGTAATTAAATTCCCTCGAGTCTTTGACCTGGATATAGTTCTCTCTTTTTTTTTTTTTTTGTAAACAACCTGAAATGCTTGTAGTGATTTCTCACACAAATCATATCAGATATGTTCACAGTATGCAAGAAACCATTGGATTTTAAAATATAGCTTAATTTTTAAAGTTATCAAAATGAATTTTAAGTCAACATGCTATGATAGAAAAATATTGCTGTTCTGAATATTGTGGAAATGTAAATACTGAAAAAATGTGTACAAAAATATGTAGTAAATTCATGCGTTTATATTTAAAATGTCATTTCCTTTTCATGGGGACTGTGAGGTGTTCTGTTTTTTAGGAAAAGTTACCTGAAAGGTGTTATTTGCTTCTCGGTGCTGTTCTTTAAGCTATATTAGCCCTTGTTTTTCTAGGCTCTAGCTTTTGTTTTCTTTTGTTTGTACTGCTTTTTTTTAATTTAAATAACTCAATTAAATGTTAATAAGAGATAATGAAATAAAAATATCTGCTTTGGTGGAAGAAATGTAATAGTCTGTGGGCTGTTTAAAAACATTTTTTTGCCTGGGGCAGGCATTGCACAGGCTTTTTTAATTTGAGCTTCATTGGGTTTAGAATACAAATAAGAGCAAAACTAAAGCACTTAAATGTGTTGGGGGTTTTTTAATTGGTTTTTATCATAACTAAATATAGGGGTTTTGTTGGGAGTTTACTTGGGCTTTTTGAAAGGTTGGAGGTGGTAGAAGGGGATTTGTTTTGGTTCTTATTATTTAAAAATTACAGAGACTCTCAAATACTGTTTAAAGATACTTGTTTATGTTAACATTATCTGTTACAGTCCTGTCTGACAATTTAGAAGAAATGTTTCTGGGCTATCCTTCCTTACATACTGTACTACTGAAACCTGTCAACCATCATGTTACTGCTTGGCCATTCATATACCTATGCATAAACCATAGGTAGATTTTATCCTAAAGAATATGAAGGTGTCGATAAGTTCTCCAACGATTTCTTTTCATTTTATTTTAAGGTAGGTGGTGGTGGTAGTGTAGAGAGATGGAATTTAGGAAATAGACTTTAAAGTACTAAAATAAAGTATGCTAAAATAGGAGGTAATCTAGTTTAGTGACATGGAGTCAGATACCTTTGTTAGTATGTGGGCTCCACTGTTGTGACTCTAGGAAAGCTACTTACAAACCTCAGCTTCCTCATCTTAAAATGAGATGATTATAGTATCTATCTCATAGGGTTGTTGTGAGGACTAAGGAGTTAAGTTCCTGGCACACAGTAAATGCTTACTAGTGCTGCTGTGACTGTTCAAGGCCAGTTAGTTATGCTGCACAGTGTAGCCTGTCGTTTAACCTTACTAATTCAGTGGTATAAAATTAAAGTAGAAGAAAGTGATTAAATGTAGAAATAAACTAGAGATAGTCTAAGTGTGCCATTGTGAAACTCAATAGTAAAAATAAAAAATTCTGATTCCCTAGTTTCTTACATAATGCCAATAGGAAAAACATTTTTATTAACATCAATTTAGTGACATGGACCTTATTTTGGCAGTAATATGTCATATAACATCTTTTTTAGTCACGTAACAAGTGATTGTTTTCATACGTCCTGTCATTAGTCAAGTTCTTTGGTTAAAACTGAATTTCATCAATAATGGTTTGTGATTACTGAGACAGGAAATATGTTTTAAGTTCAAACTAAGTCATTTTCTGTTGATCTCTTGTTTTGTACTTAATTTTTCTTTTTAAATTATAAGGCATATCTTTATGACTAATATTTTAAGAAATGAAAACTACATAGAAGCTATATGGTAGAAAAATGTCCTGTGTTTTCTAGCCTGTATTACTTTTAAGGAAGTCGTTTTCTTTTGGACCGTTTAAACTTATTTCCTGTGTGATTCAATACTGTTGTTATAGCATATTTTCTGTGTCACTTAATGGATTACAAAGAATAGCCCGAGTGGAGAGGTTTGTGTTTACTTACTATTCTTTGTGCTTTTTTTCTGAATTGTTTAACTTCTATTTCTCTGTGAAATTTATTTTAAATATAATGTTTGAGTCACTATTCTGTAAGCATGAAATAGGATCCTAATATAATATTGTGTTGGGAACCAAAAATAATCTTCAAAGAAACAATTATTTAAAGAAAAGTCAGATCTTTTCAATAAAAATTTATGAGGGTTTGTGCTATACACATAAATTGAAGGTGTGTTATTTTGTACCCAGATATCATTGAGCATTAGACAGAAGATAAAGACCAGTAAACAGACAATAAAATGCAAATTGTAGCTTTTGTACTTTACTAAATAGAAGGACTCTCAAGTCTAATAAACTTAATTTTCTGATTTCCCAGTTCACATGGAAAGTTAGAAGCAGTAAATTAGTAGAAGGGATGGGTACTTATAGAAGCTGAAGTAATGACAGCAGAAGAAATACACAGCTAACCCTAAAAGAGAAGCTGTAATAACTGTACAAGCCAAAGCAGGAAACCCAGCGGTGTGTGGTCATTAAATGCAGGGACAGACTATCATTTTAATAGTGTTCAAAGACATCATAATAGCATAACTTAATACTGTATTAAAGTATAATGCTATACTCATTGTATATGTGGCTGACCTTGATTTCATTAAGGAAAGATGTTCTTTACTGTGAAAAAAGCTTAGACATATATAAAACTGCACAGAAGAATGCTTATTAAATACAGCAAAATAGGTTTGGCAAAATTATCTTCCTTTACAACAATATCAAGAAAAGTGGTGTTTATTGGTGAAGCAAATAAATGTTTGTATATAGAATTCCCAAAACCAGCCCATGCCAGATTTTTTCAAGTAGGAACAAACATTACAGTGTTTTTCTTTCTCTCAGCAGTGAAGTTCTGGGAATCCAACGGTTACATTTTCATACCACCTCTAATTACTGTCTTAATATTCTGGCAGGCCATTAAATCTGTGCCTCAATTTCCTCAACTGTAAAACAGGAATAATAACCGTCTAGACCTGTCTCACAGTTAACTGTCAGACTCCAATGAGCTTAAACCTAATGACTGTAGAAATGTGAAAATGCTTTATGTATTGTAGGTTCATTATATAAACAAAGACAGTGATGTCTTTCATTTGTAAGGATGTGTCCCCTCTCAAAAATGTCACTTCGAATACATGTGTTCATCACTACTGACCCTTTATTAAGGGACTCTCCTGAAAGTGGATGCAAAATTGTATCTAACGGGTTGATATCTTTCATCCCATTCACAAAGGACTAAAAAGGATTAGAAATCACCTATAAAAGTATAAGTAATACTTAAGCTATATTTGTTTGGCTGGTGGACTTGTGGAAAATATCAGTAAGGATGTGCAAATTATCTTTAACGCAAAGCTCAGCTAATAATTTTTTTTTTTCTTGGGACGGAGTCTCACTCTATTGTCCAGGCTGGAGTGCAGTGGTACAATCACAGCTCACTGCAACCTCCGCCTCCCAGGTTCAAGCGATTCTCCTGCCTCAGCCTCCCGAGTAGCTGGGACTGCAGGTGCCCGCCACGACACCCGGTTAATTTTTGTATTTTTAGTAGAGATGGGGTTTCACCATATTGGCCAGGCTGGTCTCGAACTCCTGACCTTGTGATCCGCCCACCTCGGCCTCCCAAAGTGCTGGGATTACAGGCGTGAGCCACCGTGCCCACCCATAGCTAATAATTTTGTTACTGTTTGCTCTGGTTCCTTGGCTTGTCAAAAAGTAGGCCAGTCCTTTAAAATGTTTTCACAGATGGAAATTATTTTAATTCAGAATTGATGCTTAGAAATTGGGCAGTGTTTGGCTTCCCAGAAAATGACACTTAAAAACATTTATTTATTTACTTATTTTTTGTTATTTCCAACAAGAATGAGCTTGAAAAGCATTTGTTTTTTCATTGGAACAAAATCTTTGTATGTTGATGGTAGCATCGTTCTTGGCTGACAAAGAAACTAAGAAAGGGAAAAACTATTTAGATAAAGTGGATTTCATGCCTAGACTAAAACATTCCTTTTAGAATGTTTTTGCAAAATTACTTGAATGTTTATGTCTTTATATAGTAATTTTGTTGTTGGGTAAAATCCCTTTTATCCTGAACATTACAATGTGTTTCAGAATGTTTGCAGATGCCTTTTCTTTTTCTGAGATATATATATACTTGTTTCATACTTTTGTCATCTTTCTTAAGAATTTAATTTCCTAATAGCATTTTTTCTGATCTTTTTGAAGTACTAAATGCCTATTTTTATTTTCGTGATCTTTCCAGATTTACACCTTTTCCCCCCACGATAAACATTTCTCACTGGAAAGAACACTTGAGCAATTTCCTCTGTCTAAATTTTTATTAATTTAATTGAAATTGAGCTACTGCAAGATGCCAACCATAGCAGTACATGACAACTAGAAAGTGACTTATTACATATTATTTCTTTCATAAATTAATCAGGTATATGATTGACATCATTTTTTTTTTGAGACGGAGTCTCACTCTGTTGCCCAGGCTGTAGTGCAGTGGCACGATCTTGGCTCACTGCAAGCTCCACCTTCTGAGTTCACGCCATTCTCCTGCCTCAGCCTCCCGAGTAGCTGGGATTACAGGCGTCCACCACCACGCCCGGCTAATTTTTTGTATTTTTAGTAGAGACGGGGTTTCACCGTGTTAGCCAGGATGGTCTCAGTCTCCTGACCTTGTGATCCGCCTGGCTCGGCCTCCCAAAGTGCTGGGATTACAGGCGTGAGCCACCGCGACCTGCCGACATCATTTTTAAATAGCATCTTTATCTGTGTGTATTTATACTCACAGCTTCCAATTTTTGAGATAGAATTTGGATAGCCATTACCTCCTACCTCATTAAATTTTGCTCTTTGGGCATCCCAGCTATTCTAAAAGTATATTAGTGCCTTTAATGCTTTCTATGCTTTTATTCACAGAGTAGAACCAACTGATAGTCTATAATTGTAATACTACCATAAAAAATAAATAGTTGCACTAAAATAATTCATTTTAGAATGTGTAGAATTTTCCTTATCTCATTGAGATAAATGTGAAGTAACTCCTGAGGTGGGAGGTATGTATTATGGATTAAACTTCCTTTGTTATCTTCAGGAATGGACCAGATCACAGCTGTCTAAAATGTAAGAGGATATTTTTGGTTTGTCCATGAATTGAACTTAGGCATTTAGTAAATGCTTAAACTTAATTGAGTGATTGCATCAGTATAACAAAAGGAAACAGCTAAATTATCTGAAGGGTCCTCTTATTTTTATTTTATTTATTTTGTTTTTAATTTTATTTTATTTTAGATGGAGTTTCACTCTTGTTGCCTAGGCTGGAGTGCAGTGGCACGATCTTGGCTCACTGCAACCTCCGCCTCTTGGGTTCAAGTGATTCTCCTGCCTCAGCCTCCCGAGTAGCCGAGATTACAGGCGCCTGCCACCACACCCGCTAATTTTTGTATTTTTAGTAGAGACAGGGTTTCATCATGTTGGTCAGGCTGATCTCGAACTCCTGACTTCAGGTGATCCACCCACCTCGGCCTCCCAAAGTGCTGGGATTACAGGCGTGAGCCACTGCGCCAGGCCTGAAGGTTCCTCTTAAACTTATTATGATTGTGAAGTCAGTCTTTTTAACACAAATAAATGATTAGAAAGTTGAGATTTGTACGTTAGAAAAAATACATTTCAAAATATACAACTCTCTGGATATATACCCTTGGAAGTATTTTATACTTCTTGTCATTCACGGTTTTTGAATTGCTTGCATGTTTTTTCTTTTTTACCTACACATGCATAAAGTTTAGTTGTACTAGAGTGCTAATTTTTCACTATCTGCATTTTATGCTCTTACTATTGAATTAATTTCATTCTTCTTTGCCAGAGATACTGGGTTTTAAGCAGTGTCAAAATGTCAACTCCAAAAACAGTTTTTAAAGTATTTTCTCCCTTCTCTCTGATTCCCTAGTTAAAAGATTAAATTTTTTTTTTTTGGTTCACTATTTTTCTTCTATAAAGTTAAACAATTCAAAAAGAGTTTATTACAATTGGATTCTGGAAGGGAATATTTATCAAGTGTGGCTATAACATATGTGACTGTATGTGCTTACAGCAAATTATTTTAAGCTTTAAAGACACATTTTCCCTCTTTGGCTGGAATAGAACTGGACCCCTACTCGACTATTCCAAATAGAGATGTTCTGTAAGTAGCACATTCCCAGGGGCATGGCTTAATCTTACATACTGTGACCATAAATTGTAATATAGCATTTTCACTTGAATGTGTGATACTGTTAAAGCAGTTGCCATAGTCAACATTTTGAAAATTCTTGTAACAGTAGGTGTTTACCCCCTGAATATTATAAGAGACAGCATAGACAGTAATCATAATTCCACTTTAACATTGTTCACTGGATGCCTAAACTTTCCTCTTGATGTGTTTCCAAGACTGTTAAGAAAGTAAGTGCATCATAATATGCAGCTATTTTGCAGATAACAAAATATAAATGGTGTATTACTAGCAAAAAAAATTGTTTTCTTAAGAAACCAAGAAACATTTTGACTAAAAGTGGACACTGTAGTTTGTCTTTTCACCCCAGTACTATGGAATAATTAGCTTTTACTTAAGATTAACACCATTAAGTCTTCAGTAGAAGGAAGATAGTAAAGAAAACCGTCTCATGTTTCTCTTCTTCCTGTTCTGTATGATTACGTACTGCTTTTATCCCAAATCCTTCAGAATAATTTTGGTACATTTTATGGATTAAATTATCTTCTATAAATTATGTCTGGGTAAATTTTACTCTGCTATTTTGGCTGAAACAGTATCTAGAACTAGAAAAAATGTTTGAAAGTTTCTTGATGTAGTTGGATTGACCTGTAAATTGAGCATAGTAGTTTGTTACAAATAATGCTTTATAAATAATAGCATAATAGTTTGTAACAACTGTAGAATAGAAATCTTTAATATAATATTTCACAAAATAATTCTTGAATTGAGTTTTAAAATAGTGATTTAAATTCCATAACCTGAGTTAAACCTTATTGGTGTCTAAGAACTGTTAGCAGGTATACCAATTGTTCATCTGATTTTTCATTTCTTCCCTCAATTGGCTTGTTTTCTTCTCTGCTTTGTTTCATCCTTCATCCATTGATTGCCCTTCCCTAATACATGTTTTCTCCTTTGTGGCAATGCTGATTGCATTTTCATTTCATTGAAGTCATGGTTGTCAGGAATTGGCAAAGTATGTAATGTGCCTTGTAGCTGTGGTCACAAAAAGGCAACCTTATCTTTCTAGATAAGCACTGTTCAATATAACTTTGTGTGATGATGGAAATGTTCTATATCTGCACTGTCCAGTAATGGTAACCACTAGCTACATGTAGCAACGGAGCACTTGAAGTATGATTCATCAATCTCAGGAACTGAATTTTTATTTTTATTTAATTTTAATTTAAGTTTAAATAGCCACATATGGCTAATGGCTACTGCATTGGACAACAGTTGTAGATGACCGGATTTAATCAGCATCTTTTGCTGTCATAGGCCATATATAATTTTTGTATACATGGACTTTTACCCCACAAGTAAAGGAATTTAAAGGAAGTTTCATGTTTGGAAAGAATGTTTCTGTGCTAACTTGTGTTTTTATTCATATTTAGCATCAAAATGCCCTTTCTCAAAAGCAAAATGATTCCCAAATTATTTAGATCACACAGTTGTTTTGTTTTATATTTAAATGGATGAAAATCATTTTACATTTTGCTTTAGAAACCCAAATCGGTCAATTTTTGTGGTTTTGTAAGATCTGTGTAGTTCTACTAAGCCATTGTTGTGATGTTCTCATGTTGTATGCTTGGCTTTAGTACAAACTAAAAAAAGTACAAACAATAAAGTACAAACATTTTTGCTTGTTTGTACTTTATTTTTTGTAGATTAAGCTATGAGTTCCTGTGCTTGCCAATTTGCCAATATTTGCTTCCTAAAGTTGAGAGGACCAGAGCCAGGGGCATGGAGTTGAATAAAGTTTGATGGTAATGAAGTACCTTTAGAGTAAAATATATTCATGCTATGTTGAATTAACACACTGGTTTTGCAGCTTCACAACCAGAGGTTTCATTTAATGCTGCCAAAATTATGGCACAGGGTACTGTGAGATAAACTTACTGCCTTACTCCTTGTCATCAACAGTGAAATATACTGTCTTTGCTGCTTTTACAATACGAATATAAGAAACTAATGTCCTCTTCCCATTAGTGGAAACTAATCAATACTGTGCTTTTAAGGTTGACTTAATTAACGGGGTAATAGAGGAATATGGGACCAAAATAAATGAAACTTTCAGGAAAAGATTTAAACAACAGAGATCTTAAAAATAGGAAATTGAGGTTGAAGAGAAGATGGCAAGGCTAGATAATAAGTCAAAAACATTATTTTTAAAGAAACAATTTTCTTTAAATAAATGACAGATACTTTTTGTGTATTACCTGATATGATAGATTGACAGTATACATGTGAAAACAGTTTGGATTAATAAGTTCACTTTACCCATGAGGGTGGGAAGTCAAGGGAAAGCCAGGCTCAGCTGCTATTTACATCTCTGACCTAGGCTCTTGTTTGACCTAAGTCTGTCTTGATGCAGCAGCACAAGCCAGCGAGGAGGCAGTGTCATTTCGCCGTGAACGCAGCACATTTAGGCGCCAGGCAGTACGGCGCCGGCACAATGCAGGGAGTAACCCTACCCCTCCTACATTGCTCATCGGATCACCCCTAAGGTATGGTATTTTCAATTCCACCAAGTTTAGCATGCATGTAACAACCCTTCTAATCTGTTCCGCCAGTCCCAAGAAAGCATTTGAAGAGCTTTGTTTTTCTTTTCCTTTCTGTTTCTTTCCTATACATTTAAGCCCTTTTTGGCTTTTTCTGCATGTGACCATGAGCCTGTTGCATTATGCATGCTTTATGTTGCACTGTTTAAGTAAAATGATCAGATTGGTTTAGTCAATTTTAAATCACTTGAGGGCAGTTACAGGATGTATATAGTGGGCCTTAGTCAGCTTTCCTTTTTTTTTTTCTCCCACTCCAAATTAATAATCATGCAATATTTTCCCCAATATTTTGACAGTATTTAATATAATATGAACAAATACAAACTGAGTGGTGAGCTTGTTGAGGAATAACAAATAATTCACTTAAACTTGATAAGCCAGTTTGATTGTTTTATTTCACTAAAATATGATATGATTTATTTTATATTGCCTAAAACTTGGTGCCTTTTATAATCATCAGGATCTGGTAAATGACAGAACTAACATACATAATTTATGTAAAGTGTGGTCAATTGGAGAGAGATATATATTTATATATATTTATTAAATTTTTCAAGCTCTGTATTGTGGTAAACAAAAACATCATTACTTTTTCCAGTAGTCCTAAGTAAGAAAGCATCCATTCATAACATTGTGGATAATTTTTCATTAAAATTCCAGTAACTACTTTATTCTTAATTACATCAAATCTGCTGAATCTATGCCCTGAATTAGAAATATAAAAATCTATCCAAAAGACTTGGGCTTTAATTTATTTTAAGAATACAAAAACAGATATAAATTTTTTTTTTTTTTTTTTTTTGAGACACTCTGTTGCCCAGGCAGGAGTGCAGTCGCGTGATCTTGGCTCACTGCAACCTCCGCCTCCCAAGTTCAAGTGATTCTCCTGGCTCAGCCTCCCGAGGAGCTGGGATTACAGGTGCATACCACCCTGCCTGGCTAATTTTTATATTATTGTAGAGACAGGGTTTTTTTGCCTTGTTGGCCAGGCTGGTCTTGAACTCCTGACCTCAAGTAATCTGCCTGCCTTGGCCTCGCAAAGTGCTGGAATTAGGGGCATGAGCCACTGCGTTCTGCCCCAAAAATGGATATACATACTTTACATATGCCTGCTTAAGCAGTGCATATATTATACAAAATACTTTCATTAGCCTCTGTGTCCCAAAAGTACCATTTTACAAATTATTTTCTAGCTACATTTTAATTTCAAATTCAAAAGGAAGAACATTTGATGAAATAACTGCTGTTAAGTGCATGGTAGGTTGGAACAGATAAACCCCTTCTCTTGTTAAAACCTTGTTCTCAAAACAAGCAAAATCCTTGTTTCTTTAAAATATTTTATTTCATACTCCCCTGAGATTTAAGACTTGCTTGTTTTCCTAGATTTTACAGTCAAGAACTTTGTCTTTAACGAGGCACCTCTGGAATATCTCGGAATGTGCTGTGATTCTGGGGGCTGCCCAGTTCACAAATTGTTCATTGCTCAATTAAAACTCTTTTAAATTAAAAAAAAATAATAATAAAAAGGCTGGGCGCTGTGGCTCATGCCTGTAATCCCAGCACTTTGGGAGGCTGAGGTGGGCGGATCACCTGAGGTCAAGAGTTTTGAGACTAGCCAACATGGTGAAACCTCGTCTCTACTAAAAATAAAAAAAAAAAAATTAGCTGGGCCTGGTGGTACGCACCTGTAGTCCCAGCTACTCAGGGTGGCTGAGGCAGGAGAATTGCCTGAACCCAGGAGGTGGAGGTTGCAGTGAGCCAAGATTGCGTCACTGCACTCCAGCCTAGGTGACAGAGGGAGACTCCATCTCAAAAAAAAAAAAGAACTTCGTCTTTCATAGATCATGTTCCTAATTAATTCTTCAGTAAGTCAAAATTCTATAAAAAGTAATATGGATTAATTAAACCAATATTTAAAATAGAAAAATGAGAAGACAATCAATTTAACAGAAACACTTGTTCTAGAAACCTTTTCTGAGCCCTTTGTTTTTGTGAGCCTTCCTGTTCTTTTTCCTTTCTACTTTGCCTTTTCCTGCCTGAAGTAACTTTTCTTTCTGCTGATGGATTTGGAGCATAGTCTCAACATGTAGAAAGAGCTCAGCGTTTTATTTTACTTTTTCTATTTTGTTTCTAACCTCTTCTTTTTGCCCCTTGAATAATACTTGCCAAAGGCAACTTTTTTGCTTTCTTACTCCATGTTTATATAAAACTTTTTTTTTTAACTTTTGCTTTTCAGTTTTTAAAAATTATTTCATTCTTTGCCACTAATGAGCCTGCTGGATACCACTTAGCAAACATATGCAGACAAATTAGTTTTTTGTCCTCTACTAGGTGGAATATTAAAGAGCTGTGTTCTAATGTTCTAACTCCAGCCAATCACATACAATTTTCCCATGTTTTTCTAGGGTTTGGAATACATTACCATTCAAATGAGGATGTTGTGTACTACCTTTTTTTTTTTTTTTTTTTGAGACGGAGTCTCGCTCTGTCACCCAGGCTGGAGTGCAGTGGCGCGATCTCGGCTCACTGCAACCTCCGCCTCCTGGGTTCAAGCCATTCTCCTGGCTCAGCCTCCTGAGTAGCTGGGATTACAGGTGCCCGCCACCATGCCCAGCTAATTTTTTGGATTTTTAGCAGAGATGGGGTTTCACTATGCTGGCCAGGCTGGTCTTGAACTCCTGACCTCGTGATCCACCCGCCTTGGCCTTTCAAAGTGCCGGGATTACAGGCATGAGCCACTGCGCCCAGCCCCTACTACTTATTTTTAAAGGGTTCACATTATAGTTTTTGAAAAGTAGTCTTCTAATAATCAGCTTGTAGTTTTTGTTGAGGTTCCAGGATATTCCTAGTACAAAGGTTGCATATATCTTAAATAAGCTGATTTCATCATGGGTAAAGTAAAATAAAATTTATCTGTGGGGAATTAGGGAGAAACACCAATTTATTCATCTTCTGTAACTGTAAAAAAATTCAGGTAAAGTATATTGGTGTTATTCCTCAGTGTGAGTTACAGAATAGTAATCTCGTCTTTAAATAAGTATAGGATGATATGGTCATTTAAAATTTGGAAAAATTATCTAAAAGAAATGGTAGATGTGGCAACACTTTCATTACAAGTGCTATATAAATACTAGTAAATATACTAATTTATTTTAAACTTTAATGAATATGTAAGTGACCACCCAAAAGGCAACTTGGTAAAATATATGTCCCCAAGGATTGGGAGTGAATTATCAATTTTCTTACAAAGAGAATTTGCATTTATTTTATAATGCTTATAAGAATATACTGTTTCAGAATTATTTTTTAAAGTTTTATTTAAAAAATTGTGCGCTTTATAGGTGGGTTTTGTTGGCCTTTGCTAATTCTTCCCAGTTAGTAGGCCTAAAAAAGACAAATATTTAAAATATTTATAATACAAATATTAAGAGTTCTGCATTTATCATCCTAAATGTGTTATCTTTTTAATTCTAGTTAATTGCCTGGAATGGAATGAAATCATCAGTGCATTTCAGGGAAGGGGAAAAACGCTTTAGTGTATTCTTAAAATTTATTTTTTAAAATACAAGATTAAAAAATCTGTAATACAATAAGGTCATAGTAATAACTGAGAATTCATGATTAGGAATTCATAGGGGTCCCTTTGTGGTGCTCAGAAATGAATCCACCAACTATTTTTTTTGGTACTTTATTCAAAACACTCTTCTGGGTTTTTCTAGAATATAGAGACATATAAGAATAATGTAATCATACTCTTAGACTTTACATTTTAGTTGGAGAGACACATAGAAAGGTAACTAGCAGTATAACAGAATGTGTCAAGTGCCAATTAAGTGATACAGAAGGAAAGACGAAGACCAACTATTTTTCAGTCATTCATAGTAGAAAAGTTAACAATTAAGATTGCATGTCAGTGGTGCTAGTGATAGCTGATAGTTTTAGACCTAAATTTCTACCTTTTCTTTTGCAGTGTTATAAAATAGTTGCTACCCTTACTCAAACTGGTAGTTTTGACATAGAAGCGTAAAAAAAGATTTATTTGTACCATTATTAGTTTAGGATAAAGTGCAGCCCTCCAGGAATATGTTTTCTAACAAGTTATGTGAAAATAATGGACTTTTTTATTTCTGTTAGAGGATTGTGACAATAGGAATTCAAGAGACATCAGCATTTATTTGTTATTTCCTCTTCCGAACCATATTCCAGTCTCATTTACATGGATCCATCATTTTAGAAAATCTTTAAAATAATTGGGAAACTAGTAATTTCTCAAAAGATATTAGGCCTAAGTTTGATACAATTTTTAAATATTTGGTATTTTGAGATTAAAATTTATTTATTAGAAATTTTAATAAAAATTATCTAAATTAATTTTTTTTTTTTTTGAGACAGAGTCTTGCTCTGTTGCCCAGGCTGGAGTGCAGTGGCACGATCTCGGCTCACTGCAAGCTCCGCCTCCCGGGTTCACGCCATTCTCCTGCCTCAGCCTCCCTAGTAGCTGGGATTACAGGCGCCCGCCACCATGCCCGGCTAATTTTTTTTTTTTTGTATGTTTAGTAGAGACGGGGTTTCACCGTGTTAAGCCAGGATGGTCTCGATCTCCTGACCTTGTGATCCACCCGCCTTGGCCTCCCAAAGTGCTGGAATCACAGGTGTGAGCCACCGTGCCTGGCCAAATTGTCTAAATTAATTTAATAAAAATTAAATTGATAGTCAAAACCCTGATGTTTATAATCACATGGATTCTGGCTAATTTTATTTATTTATTTTTAATTCTGGTGTTGATTTTTATGCATTGTCTAATATCTTAAAAACCTTTTTGTATATTGGATATACATTGTGCATCTCTGTGTTGAAGATGAGCATATACTCAAATGCGTTCATGCCAAAATACATCTAGCTGCCATATGGCAACTTGGCTTATGATGTCAAGTGAAAAAAAATCGATAGAAAAATTTGTTGAGTACGTATTTTGTAAAATTCTGTGTCTTCTGAATCGGAAGGGACACAGGGACGTGGTACCTGAACTACTACTTAAACATTTTTTTCTCAGTATTTTCTTCCTTGTGAAATTTGTCCTTTTTGGTAAGGTTTGTGGATAAGTTTAGATAGATTCTGAGGAAGAGTAACAAATTATGTATGTATGGAAGATGAAAACCTTATCTGATTATATTAGTTCCCAAGATTTATCTGTTGATTTATATCTATTCTACAAATATTCCAGTCTGAAGAAATTATTAAATAAATACTTTTATCATTATGGCTTAAAAAATAATGCCAGTAAGGACTGACAAGTCCACATTTGTAGACTTAGTTTTTTCATATGTTGTGTGCATTCCTATCCTCTGCCTGGAATGTGTACTTTTCATTGGTGAAATGAAGTAGTGCAGGTTAATAGGACTTCCTGGGATGATGGAAATATTCTATAATCTGCCCTGTTCTATATGGTAGACACTAACTACTCACTACTGCCTGCTTTGGTAGCTATTAGCTCTGGTAGCACTAGGTATGTTATGTAGTTACTGAGCATTTGAAATATTAGCAGGACCAAGGAACTTAAGTTTTAATTTGGATAGTCACAGGCTACTGTATCAGACAGCATAGTTCCAGAATATATTCTATTATCATAACCACAGGCTTAAGATATATATATATATATATATATATATATATATATGTATGTATGTATGTTTCAACATAGCCTTTTATTTCATGGTCATTCTGCAATACATGAGTTTGTTTTATGTGTACTAGAGAAACAATTACATTGAATTCAAAGGATTAGAGAGATGTTGATACTCATGAAAAATGATAAAGTAACTGAATAAGGCCATTCTAAGTAGGATTCTTTTATTCATTCTAGAGGTCTAATAATTTTAGTTGCAGACTCTGGGATTGTTAAAGGTAAACTTCAATCGACAGATTGCAGAGTTGCATTGAACATCATGTAGAGAATAATAATTATACTCAAAACATTTTTTCATGAGTTTTGTCAGTTTAAATTTGACTAAATATTATACTGAGAACATTAAAATTCATAGTATCATAAAAATATGAAAGTATAAAATAAGTTAATATAGTCTCTTAATTTGGATAATTTGTATTAAAATTTCTAATAAATAATTTTAATCTCAAAATACCAAGTATTTAAAAATTGTATCAAACTTAGGCCTAATATCCTTTGAGAAATTACTAGTTTCCCAATTATTTTAAAGATTTTCTAAAATGATGGATCCATGTAAATGAGACTGGAATATGGTTTGGAAGAAGAAATAACAAAATTTGTTATGGGAACGTAACTAATACTTGTATATAAAGCACGTGGCCTTATTTCAGAAAGATGTAAGCTTTTTATAGATAACACTTTATATTAAGTCTACCTCTGACTATATTCCATGGCAATTTGTATTTCATTGGTTGAGTCAGTTATTCTGGTTTTCTTGCTAGTTTGTGATTCTTTTTGATTCAAGATTGTTATTTTGGTTGCATTTGATAAGATTATTTGGTTTTCAAGTGCATATAAACTTGTTTTATTGTGAGTTTGAGATCTCAGAATATTTGAAAGAACAATTCTAGAGTTATTACAAGGCTATAAATGAAAGTGCATATTTAACTGAAACATAGGGCTTATCTGTTGGGGCCAGCTGCAGCACACATATATTGAATGTACTTATGATTCTTTTTTGCTGCTTTCTTTTTCCTCACACTAGAATTTAGTTGGCTTGAGGTGGAAAAAAGTCGCAGATTGACCAATTTACATGTACATTTAATGTTGACTGCATTTGTCTCTTCAAATCAAATTTGTAAGGACCAGAAGATTTAAGTTGGCAATGTAATCTGTATATTTTGCAAAGTTTGTTGGCGCTTTCTTAGGTTATGTTGAAAAAAAGTGCCTTTTTGAAATCAGTTTTCTATGTTGACTTCATTCTAGGTATTGTTTTCTCTTTTCTTCCCTGTAATGTCTCCCCAATCCATGTTTTTTCCTAGCCTTCAAGATGGTCAGCAAGGCCAGCAGTCCACAGCCCAGGTCAAAGTCCAGTCCCGCCCCCCTTCCCAGGCTGCAGTGCTCAGTGCTAGTGCCTCCTTGCTGGTGAGAAATGGGAGTGTCCACTTAGAAGCATCACATGACAATGCATCTGCTGTAGGCGGTAGCAGTTTGCACGATGAACTTGGTATGCAGGCCTTATGTAATCTTGATGATACAAAAACTTTAATGCAGCAGATGATGGGTAACAATTGCAGTTCTTTTTTGAGATAGTTTCATTTTGGAACTATGCATAGGAGCACTTTTTACATAGGATTTACCCTATGTGTTAGGAAAATGTGACTTTTTGCTTTTTCCTTTTCTGTTTCTCTCTACTCTTATTCTGCATTTTCTTTTGGTCATGTCCATTTTTAATAGGTAGTTAAAGTGTTAATATATGTTCACACTCAATTCTGTTTTTCCCAGGCATTTGTACCATGTAGGAGAAAACGTTGACTTTTTTAAAAAAAAAGTTTCTTACTAAACTTTAATTTCTTTGAATATTTTGAATGTGCTTTAGGAAAGGGAAAAGTGCTTTCTAATTGTCTGCCACTATAGAATCTTTCTTTAAGATATTCTATATTTCACACTATGTTCGTCATCTGTAGTAGGTTTTATTTTAATTCAAAATACAGTACTCTAAGGACATCATGGCTCCGTACTAATGTCACATAATAACTTTATAAAGTTTATTTCTTGTTCTTGTCAATATATCTATAAACATATAAATTATTGAATAATTAATTCTCAGAAGTGTGATATCATTAAACATCAGTGATACATACCTACTCAGATATCTGTCTTATGCATTATTTAAGGGTGATACTTTATGTTACTTTGGTTTCTGTGTCTCTGTATAATCTAGCTGTCTTGTTCTCAGAATGCAGGTTAGTAATGGTTTAAGTAAATATAATGAAGAAAATCTAGTTATTCAGAAATAATTCACTTGAAAGCATTTACTCATTGTGATTTTGTTTATTCATGTTATAATTGCTTTTTACTTATAAACATGATAATCCAGTTACTGTTTCAACTGGAAGGATATGAGGTATAAGTTGCCCAAATTAGGATTTAATAAAATTTTATATGCTACCTATTCATTGACTCTTTTTTCTATTTTGTAAAAATGCTGAGTTGTAGAGAGGTATTAAGTACGTATGCATATCGATGAAAAGTGTCATGTTCAGATCTCACAGACACTTGAAAATGGTAATCTAAGATATTTATAACATTAGAATGTATGGTGATTTCTAAATAAAATGAGAAAGCAATAAAACATTTTAAATTTGGAATGCTTTTGCTTTTGAGTTTGTAATTTGTAGAGGCAAGAATATTTATAAGGAGGCTGCTTGAGGGAGAATGAGGTAGACTCCAGTTTAGCTACTTGTTTTAGTTGTAAGCAATACTTCTTCAGTTGTAAATATATTCAGTTATGTAATAACTTTATATTGCTATTTCTCTTTGCTCAACCCAAAGGATTTTTGTGAATCTGCAGATATAAAATTACAGTTACCATCTCATTGTTCATTGGCTTTATAGTAGTAGATCAGCTAAAATAAAAGGCTTCATTTTAATCCCTTTCAGAGTTTTAGACTTAGATCAAGCATAAAATGAAACAGTAGATGATTGTCCTCCATAAGAATTCTTAGTTTGCTCAAAAAATTTGTTAAGCAAGCTTTAATGATAAAGTCTCATTCTAAATCCACATGCCAATTATTGAAAATACTTACATATGAACTGCCTTTCCAGTTCTGAAGATTGAAAAAACCTCTTCTGATTGGAGACGACTTTAGCATCTGTTGGTGGATATTCAGGATATTCTCTTGTAATTTGGATTTTATCTTTTCTGTTAACTGCCACCTTAAACTAGGTCTCGCTCTATCGTATTTGAATGGTGCCAAATTGAATACTTAGTAATAATTAGCACAAAACAATCAATGGAGTGTATACCTGTTCCAATGCCTATAAAGTTGGCCAAAAAAGATTCTGAAAATGAACTGCAACTGAACTTAAAGGAATTGGTAGAGAAGCTAGAATAGTTTTGTTGTGTGGTTTAATTTTCTACTTGATTTTAATTAGCAGTGAATTATGTGAATGAAAATACGTGAATGAATTTGGGTACTTTATACTCAAATATATTAAAGTTAGCTATGATATTCCCTAAAAGTGGAGTATTTACACAGGATTGCTTCCTTCCAAATTTAGCTTCCTCTATTAAAAATTTTTAACCAGTTTTTACATGTGAAGGTATATGCATATGCATAATTTGTTTATATAAAGCATACATACACACATACATGTTTGAGTGCATATGTTTGTGTATGTACATGTACGTATGCTGTTTTGCATTAAAAAAAAACTCTGAATCAGACATTGTTTAATTCTAAGCCTAGATAGTTTTCCTAAACTGTGTTTTCTACATCTTTATTTTGTGGTGTCACAATAGGTAACCATATTCATTTCCTATACTAAACCCCGAGAATCCTTATTTCTCTGGCATTTTAAGGTTACCAGAGAACATCAGACATCATGGAAAAATTCACTAAAAATAGTATTATGAGGATTTTATTAGTAGCTTATTAAACAGAGGAAAAAGTACTTGTATCATCTGTATTCAGCAAGCAAAATTGTTAATCATGATTAATTTTAGAATTTGAATTATAAGTGGCTTAATTTAAAAGGAAAAACTTAGGCTGGGCTCGGTGGCTCATGCCTGTACTCCCAGTACTTTGGGAGGCCAAGACGGGCAGATCACTTGAGGTCAGTAGTTCTAGAGCAGCCTGGCCAAAATGGTGAATCCCCATCTCTACTAAAAATACAAAAAATAGCCTGGCATGGTGGCACGTGCCTGTAATCCCAGTTACTCAAAAGGCTAAGTCACAAGAATTGCTTGAATCTGGGAGGCGGAGGTTGCAGTGAACCAAGATTGCGCCGCTGTACTCCAGCCTGGGTGACAGAGTGAGACCCTATCTCAAAAAAAAAAAAAAAAAAAAAAGAAAAACTGACATAGTTTTCTTTCCTATTTATAGCTTTCATTTCCATGTGTACCTAATTAAAAAGAAATTGGGTTCAAATGACTTAAGTGTTGGATGAGTTTTGGAAGTTAATATCTTTGGAAATGATATTTCTATCAGAATTTCTCAAATTCTTCAATGTAATATGTTGCTCTTTATTTTAAAGACCACATATTAAGGGTTAATTTTCTTCTGATTGGTCTTTTGTTGGAATTGCTATTTGTTGTTGATTTTATACTGTTTTCTGAATTAAACTACAAAAATTCTAAATAAAACAAGCTGTGACTTAGTAATGCCCAGATTAAGTCACACAAGAGACTGAATCAGGTAGCCTTAAAGTTCTGTTTTATATCTGCTAATCTTTTCTATAGAATTTGGCACTTCTCAGTTACTAATCCTAGTTTTCTCTTATAAATTAAGACTAATAAGTTGATGCAGTGATGAAACTTGCCATTATAGCTGGTAGTTACACTCTTAATTTGTAACACAACATCTCAAACAAAATGTTCTAGATGAGATCAGATAGAACAGGAAACATTGCCTGTGGTTTTTTCTGTGTATGAAATTAGTGGTTGGGGTGAGGAAATGCTTTGAAAGTGTATATGAAGCTATTATTTTGTCTTTATGTGAAAAATTTAAAAATTACTGTTACAATGTTGACAAGAAATGAGGACAAGAGTTCTATATTTATCAAGACGTAATTACAAAGCATGTATATATCATGAGTAGTATTTCTCTGATTAAGACTTTCTTAATGTATCTGATTTTTAAAAAGTGATGCTTGAATTGATTTTCCTTAGGTTTTCTTTTGTTTTATTACTGTGTAAGGATTGACAAAGGAGGTATTCTTTGAGGTAATCTGCTTTATTCTAGAGCTTGTTAACTTGAAAATGTAGTTGGCTGTAGGAGAATTATTGAAGGAAACCTGGCAACATTGCTCTTCCTATTAAGCAGTTCATAGCAGAAATATAATTTGGAAGCTTTTAGATTTTCTACTTTAAAAAGCAGAGACTCAGGTGATCAACAGTACTTTTAGTGACTTTTATTAGAGTTAGTCTTGGTGTTTTAAAAAAGATTGTATATACTACTCTAGCATTTTGGGCTATTAGTACTTGTCCTTGTTACTATTAACACAGAGTCAGAGGACTGTAAGGGATCTTAGAGTTAATATGTCAGTTCCTTATGTTATGGTAGATTATTTTCATTCATCTGAACAAAAAAGTTACATCCTTTTGCAGCAACCTTGATTTTGTCCTTTATTATTGTTTTGAGTACAAAAAAATAATAAATTCTATTCTTTGATCATTTTTGGGGGGTGAGGGGCAACAAAGTATATATAAATGAAAGTAAAATGTTTATTTTTATCAAAACAATAAAAATACTTCATTATATTTCAAAAGAAGAAGTATTAAGAGGTTTAAGGGCTATATTCTACTTCGTTTTGGTAAAAGTAGAATGTGCTTTTCCCATCCTTACAACAGAAATACAAGTTGACAAATACTGGAAAATACCATGAAGAAAATTAAGTCATCTACAATCTCATCACTAAGAGATATCCACTATTAGTATGTTGTAATTTATTCCTTCCAGTCTTTTAAAATGTACATGTGTATATGCACTTAAAAAAATAGAGTTAGGATCATGTCGTGACTTTTGTGCTACTGTTTGAGTTTTGTATCTTGCTTTTTTCACTTAGCAGTCTGAACATTTACTCATGTTATTAGCTGTCCCTTGATTTTTTTTTTTTTTTTTTTTGACGGAGTCTCACTTTGTCGCCCAGGCTGGAGTGCAGTGGTGCAATCTTGGCTCACTGCAACCTCCGCCTCCTGGGTTCAAGCGATTTTGCTGCCTTAGCCTCCCGAGTAGCTGGGATTATAGGCATGTGCCACCATGCCTGGCTAATTTTGTATTTTTAGTAGAGATGGGGTTTTGCCATGTTGGCCAGGCTGGTCTCGAGCTCCTGACCTCAGGTGATCCACCCACCTCGGCCTCCCAAAGTGCTGGGATTATAGGCATGAGCCACCATGCCCGGCCTCTTTGATTTGTTTTTAAGTGGCTGCATAATGTTTTGTCACTTAGATGTATGTGAAAGGCAGTACAATATAGTGGACTCTGGAGCCAAACTTCTTGGCTTCAAATCTTTGCTCTACCAGTTATTAACTATGCGATCTTGGGAAAGTTATTGTCTTGTCTTAAGCCTCAGTTTCCTCAGTTATCAAAGGATGGCAAAAATAATGGCTACTTCATAGGTTTATTGTCAGGATTATATTTATTAAGCATACAATTAGAACAGTGCTCGACAATTGTAAACTTGTTATATAATCATCTTTGTCATTATTGATAAAATATTATATCATTATTTAATCAATTAACCCCATTGTTAGTCTTCACACTGTTTCCTGATATTTCCTATTGCAGTGAACACTGTGCTGAATGTCCATTACATAAGCTTTAGTGTACAGCAGCTGTGATTTTTTTCTTAGGGTAAATAATGTTGAAATGGAATTATCGGTCAAGGGGAATATACATTTTTGGGGCTTTGATATATACTGTTAATGGCTTTATGGAAAGCTCTAGTTTATACTTTATCTGGTAGAGTTTGGGAGGATCGCCACAAATATTACAAGTTAAAAGTAAATCTAGATGAATTTTATCTACTCTTATTTTCATCCCCTGGATAATGCTCAGAAGTTTATCACTGTTATTGTAGGAAGACTACTAGAATATTATTTCAAATAGTTTTGGGTGCCTGAACAGCTCTAGGAATTTTACGGAAACTTACAGGGACAGGTTGAGATATTTAATTTGTCTCTTGCTAGTATGTTGTAAAGAATTCATTGAATCACTAGACTAGATTATCTGCTTTCTAACATTAATCATTCTTAAGATTCTAAATTAAAGCTGGTTAGTATATGCATTAGTTGGAATATATGCTAGATTCTTTAAAGGAGAGACCCTTCCAAAATCATTGAAATGAAAGAGAAGTTTCTATTTCTCTCATGAGAACCATTGGGAGTCTAATGGGATCTATTTCTGTCATGATGGATGAATGATGTTATCTTTCACATGTGGCTTTCTTGCCTTGTCCTAAGTGCCTGCTGTAGTCGTTGACATTTTCCAGCAAACAGGAATGAGGAGAAAAGGTCAAGGACATCTAGCCTTTATCTTCCTGATTCAGATTTGGAAAACATGCCTTTCGTTTTCTCCCACCTTTCATTGGCCATACATAATCATGTGACAACTTCTCGTCGTGGGAGAGGCTGAAAAATGTCTCTAACTAGGTGGACAGAAGCCCAGCAGAAATTCAGTGAGGGGAAGATTCCGTTCAGAGGAACACAGAAAATACTCTTGGCAGTGGCTGTCTTTGGGTAGTAATGAACTTTCTTCTTATATACTACTTTTTAATTTTCTGATGAGTAATAATTTTTAAATGGAACCATGAAACAGAACGGCAAATACCAATGTAATTCCCCCAAATCTTAGTATCTGGTAGGAATTTCACTGACTGTTTGCTGCTACATGCTCATCAGACTCTTACCTGGTCAGTCTTTATTTTCTTGTTTCTTCATCAATTTTATGGATATATAATTTAGGCACAATAAATGGCATCTGTTAAATGTATACAATTCAAGGAGTTTTAACAGATGTGTATACCCGTCAGATACCTTAATCAAGATGCGAGTGTTTCTGTCACCTTCAAAAAATTCTCTGTGCCTTGTTGCAGTCCATCTCTCTGCTGCCTCTGGTCATAGACAACCACTAATCTGCTTTCTATCATTATGATTTCCCTCTTCTAGCAGTTGATATAAATGGAGTCATATAGTATACAGCCTTTTGTATGTACTTTTCCTGTAGTGTAATGCTTTTTGAGATTTCATCATACTGCTTGCATGTGTGAGTAGTTTGTTCTTTCTTACTGCTGAGAATTCCATTGTATGAGCAGGCTGTATATTGCTTATCTGTTCACCTGGCGATGGTTGTGTTGTTTCCCGTTTTTGGCTGTTGTGAATAAAATTTCTGAACTGTCTTTTTGAAAAGAGTTCTACATCCCCACCACCAAATTCCAGTAGTTCCCTTTCTTGCCAACATTTGCTTTTGTTGGCCTTTAGAATTGTAGACATAATGGGTATAGAATGGTAACTCATTGTGGTTTAAATTTGAATTTCTCTTATGACTAAAGATAGTAAGCATCTTTTGATGTGCTTATTGGCCACATACATATATATCTTCTTTTGTGAAGTGTGTCCAGAAATTTACTCATTTTAAAAATCGGGTTGTTGGTTGTCTTCTTTTTTTTTTTTTTTTTTTTGAGACAGAGTCTCACTCTTGTTGTCCAGCCTGGAGTGCAGTGATGCAATCTCAGCTCTCTGCTACCTCTGCCTCCTGGGTTCAAGCGATTCTCCTACCTCAGCCCCGCAAGTAGCTGGGATTACAGGTGCGTGCCACCGTGCCCAGCTATTTTTTTATTTTTGTATTTTTAGTAGAGACGGGGTTTTGCCATGTTGGTCAGACTGGTCTCGAACTCCTGACGTCAGGTGATCTGCCCGCCTCGGCCCCCCAAAGCGCTGGGATTACGGGCATGAGCCACTGCGCCCAGCCTGGGTTGTTGGTCTTCTAACTGTTGAGGTATGAGTTCTTTTGATATTTTAAATACAACTTATTTGTCAGATACAAATTACAAATATTTTCTCCCATTCTGTGGCTTGTCTTTTTGTTTACCTGACCAGTCTTAATGTCATCAATGTCGTTATTATAGATTATTTTACCCAAGTAAGAAGAACTTGTCTTTTTGAAATAAAATGTGAGTGGATAATGAAATCACAGCAAAATATGAACTTGTACATTCACTTTTGGAAAGTTCAGCTGATTTGGGGATTAGCAAGCAGGAGTGGAGTTTTTAACAATTAATTAAGGCATGTTTTATTAACTCAGAACTAGATAATCAGATAGCCATGTCAGTAAAATATATCAGTATGTAAATCTCACTTATAGTTGCCAAGCAATAGAGATATCTGTCTTTCCTTACCAGTCCCCAAAGCTGTCTTCTAAACCAGACTTTCTTCTTATACCTACCTTTTCCTTATCCTTCTGATTTAAAAAGCTAGAACAGCATTGCACATACTAAGAAAAAAGACTTGTTCTAAATATTGAAACTTGAAGTTACAAGGACATAGTGACCTGATTTCCATTGTATCATGAGGATTAAAGAAGTTTTTGGAGCCTAAGATTCTTGGTCTAGGACAGGTGTTAGTAAACCACCGCCTGTGGGCTAAGTCCAGCTCTATACCTACCTGTTTTTGTAAATAAATAAAATTTGTGTTTATGTTCTGTATTGTCTTATGCCTGCTTTCATGTTACAGTTGTAGACTTGAATTGTTGCAACAGAGGTTATCTGGCCCATGAAGCCTAAAGTATGTATTATCTGGCCCTTCACAGGAAAAGTTTTCTGACCTTTTTATTTCTCCCCTAATCTAGGGAGAAACAAGTCCATTAACCCAGGGGTCCCCAACTCCCAGGCCATGGACTGGCATGGATCTGCGGCCTGTTAGGAACAGGGCTGCACAGCAGGAGGTGAGCAGGGTGTGCGGAGCGAGCATTTCTGCCTGAGCTCCGCTTCCTGTCAGGTCAGTGGCAGCATTCAGTTTTCATAGGAGCATGAACCCTATTGTAAACTGCACATGCAAGGGATCTAGGTTGCCCACTCCTTATGAGAATCCAATGCCTGATGATCTGAGGTGGAACAGTTTCATCCTGAAACCGTCCTCCAATCCCCTGGATCCATAGGAAAGTTATCTTCCATGAAACTGGTCCCTTATGCCAGAAAGGTTGGGGGCCAGAAAGGTTGGGGACCGTTGCATTAACCAGTAAGCAGCAATATAGTGAGTAATTTCTGTGTGGGTAAAAACTGAGTCACCACTTATGATTATAAGGGGGGTGCTATCCAAGAAATTAGAATTGATCTTAAAGGCCTTCTCTTTAAAAGTATAATATATTCATTGAGATTGCATTATGAACACAGTGCTATCTCCATCAGATTATTTCTTGAATAACATTTCTATTATTGAGTACTTCAGTCATATAGAATGTATATGTTCCCCCAAATGTCTTTTAAAAACTCACTTTATACATTTACTGCCCATATATCTCTCTTTGTTTTTATAGCCCCTCTCTGCCCTATGAGTAATACTTAAAAAAAGAGAAGTCAGTGTAGACAGTGCATCAGGCTTGGAGGACACAGAATGAAGGGAAGGTTGGGGGAGGTAGGTGGTTAAAGAAGAAAATTATCCAAGAAATTTAAGAGACCTCTTTTGTTGTTGGTACTTGGAAGATTAGAAAAACACTATGGATGATTTGTTGTTCTAGTAACCACCTCCTTCCAAGATACATATAGGTAACTTTAGAAAAATGAGTGATGTCAAGAATGCAACAGGCTGGGCGTGGTGGCTAACACCTGTAATTCCAGCACGTTGGGAGGCTGAGGCAGGAGGTATCACTTAGGCCCAGGAATTCGAGACCAGCCTGGGCAGCATAGCAAGACCCCCATCTCTACAAAAAAGTTTTAAAAAGTAAGCCAGGCACTGTGGCGTGTGCCTGCAGCCCCAGCTACTCAGGAAGCTGAGGTGGGAGGATCACTGGAACCTAGGAGTTTGAGATTGCAGTGAGCTATGATTGTGCCATTGCACTCCAGCCTGGGTGACAGAGTGAGTCTCTGTCTAAAAAAAAAAAAGGGGGGGTGGGGAATGCAATTGGAGTTTCTTAGGTGAGTACTGTTCTTAAAATTCTTGATGTACTCAACTTCGTTTTGTATGGTGAGGATTTTTACTGATAGGGTAAGTTAGAGAATCCCATTCATTTCCCATGTCTTTTATCAGTGTCTTGTGAATGTTTATCAGAATTTGCCTGCTGCACCATTCATGGCTCTAGGCAAATGCTTCAAGTATCCTTGGTGTTAAGTGAGTATCCAGTTTTACTCATCTTCCTGTTGCTCATCACTTATTCATTGACCTATAGTTGTTACTTTGAAATATTACTTCAAAAGAATGGTTGTGTGTAATTAACAAATTTTATGAACAATAACAGTCACTATTGAGTATTCAATAAGACTGCTAAGAAATACTAGGTATCTTAACTTTTTTTTTTTTTTTTTTTGAGACAGGGTCTCACTCTCTTGCCCAGGCTGGAGGGCGGTGGCATGAACACAGTTCGCTGCAGCCGCAACCTCCTAGGCTTAAGTGATCCTCCTACCTCAACCTCCCAAGTAGCTAGGCCCATGGGCACATGCCACCACACCCAGCTAGTACGTGTGTGTGTCTGTGTGTGTGTGTGTGTGTGTGTGTGTGTGTGTGTGTGTGTGTGTGTGTGTGTGTGTGTGTGTGTGTAGAGATGAGGTCTCACTATGTTGCCTGGGCTTGTCTTGAACTCCTGGGCTCAAGCAGTCCTCCCACTTTGCCTCCCAAAATGCTGAGATTTACTGGCATGAGCTACTGCGCCTGGCATATCAGCTTTTTGTGTATGTGTCTTTAGAGATGCAGTCCCTTGGCCAGTATAATTTTTACAAGTCTGAAATTCCAGTTTCTAATCGTGTTTATTTTGTTAGAAACTGATTTTTTTTTCTCCTTAAGTCATGACAGAGGCATTCTATCAGGTATAATTAATTGGTCACAGTTGAATCATGATGAGATGGCTTAGTTTATAATCCAAATTCATGTGAGAAGGACATATTTCTTTGCTCTGCTTTCTACTCTGTTTATTAGAAAAAATTAGTATTGAAGTATTTTTCTTAAGGCAGAATAATATTAAAATAGGGGTATTGTAACGGCATATTTTACTTCAGATCTAAAGTTTAAATATGATGGTTTTAATCTCAAAAGAAATAGTAAAATTGCTGTGTATGCCAAGAAAACTTGTACAAACGTAATCTTCATAAACCAATAGTAATATATATTTATTTCTGGTTGGTTATTTTTTAAGCTGCCTTCAGTAGGATACATTAGCACATTAAATTACATTTAGTAATTTCTTTTTCTGGTGTGTTTATCTTCAGAGTAAAATTTGGTACTTCTAAAGTACATAGACTTGTTCTTTTGGAGTGAAGTTGGGACTACACCATGAGGCCTTATTACAGTGTTAGTTTGTTCTGACAAATGCCATGCGTATTTTTAAGAACCTAAACATGCTTCTGAAGCTTAATAGACAAAAGCCTCTTAAGGAAAAAAAGAAAAGCACTGTTGAAGTCATGTACTTCTGTTAAAATCATAGCCTCTCTTTTAGACATATTTATGCTTCTGCTTACATTTTTAGATTTTATTACTTGTTAGTAATTTGGATAGAATCATTCAGAGTTGTAAATTCAGGTAGTAATAGAACTACTCAATTTTTCCAACTGTCTGTTTAGAAAAGCTTTTTTTTTTGCATTCTTTATGTTTATTTATTTAAAATGCAACTATTTCTATGTAAATTTAATATTAGATATTTATACATAAAAGACAACATGGTAGTATAATGACATCATATTCTTTTACTGTTTCATTTGAAAATTACAAAGATAATATCTTTAGTTGATTTTGTCACAGATACATATTATTTTTAATATACCAAGAACAGAACTTATATATTAATAAAAATCCTTTGGAAAGCTTGAATGCTGAGAAATACTGCAACAATTTAAGTTCTATTGAATACAGAATTAACTTATTTCTAAAATATGTATAAATTATGTTATGACAATACATTTATGCATTCTGTTCTTACTGAGTTTCATATGCAGTAACCAAGCCCTCTTTGCTCTTTGTTAATCCATGATTTAGTCATTTAATGTAGTTAACAATAATTCTGCATTTATGTAATCCATGATTTTGAGCAGATATTTCTTTTTTCTCTTAATCTAAGTTTAATTATGATAGCAGCACTAATCATTGATTATCCAATAAATGAATACAGAACAGAGCATTAAAAACTGCAATTAAAATTTTTTTAATTTTAAGTGAGCCGGTATTTTTTATTTTTTTTTCGGTAGCAACTTCTGTAATTCACCCTACCACTTTAAAAAAACTTTCAGTGATACATCTATGAAGTAGCCAAGTTGACGGCTTGTATCATTTCATTTTAGCTCATTAATCCAGTTTCTATTAGAGGTGCTAAGGATGAATGACTTATGACTAAAAGATGGGGGTGGGGAGTGTCTTAAATAATTTACATGCTGAATAACCTTGAAAAAAGACAGCAAATGACCTGAGCATTTCACAGAAAACCTTTTTTTCCCTAACTTAGGAGTATATTATTCGACAAAAAAAAATGTGGCTACAGAAAACAGCATAACTTTTATGATCCATAGAATGTACTTAAATAATTCAAATTGTTGTTTTTTTCCTGGTTCTAGTCGTTTTAAAGAATGAAGTAATGCTTGAGATGTTCTGTAAACTCTTAGTCATATTAGTACATTATGGAGTCCTTTTATTAGCATTTTTTCAAGTATTTCACTTAAATAAAAAGCCCTTATTGCACACTCTGCATTGTAGGCATGGGAAAATCTGACTTTTAGCCTTACCATCAAGTCAACATTGACCTTTAAGATTCCTGTTTTGGCCGGGCGCAGTGGCTCACGCCTGTAATCCTAGTACTTTGGGAGGCTGAGGCAGGTGGATCATGAGGTCAGGAGATCAAGACCATCCTGGCTAACACGGTGAAAACCTGTCTCTACTAAAAATACGAAAAATTAGCCGGGCGTGGTGGCGGGCGCCTGTAGTCCCAGCTACTCGGGAGGCTGAGGCAGGAGAATGGTGTGAACCCGGGAGGCAGAGCTTGCAGTGAGCCGAGATTGCGCCACTGCACTCCAGCCTGGGTGACAGAGCGAGACTCTGTCTCAAAAAAAAAAAAAAAAAAAAAAAAAAAGGGATTCCTGTTTTTAACCTCTTTAATTCCAGCTAATAAAAACCTCATAAATGCTCAAAAAGCAACCTGGACTAGACCAAATGGTTGCAGAGTTGTATACCTCATTTCATTGCCTTCGTGGAAATTTATATTAATTAATTTATGCTCCCTTTTCATCACCGATATGGCTACCATAGATCCTCAAAGGGGAAGAATACATCTCAGGCAGTATGTAGAGTTTTAAAATTTCATTATTAGAAATCATTTTATATTATAAAGTTCATCTTAAGAGAATTAAAAAAATCTGTATTCATTTGCAACATTTGCAACCAATATGATTTCTAAACCTTTTATCAGTTTCATAGTGATATTTGGCTGTAGCAATTGCTGTTTCTAAATTTTTCATAGCGCTCTTGTGGTAGAAACATACAACAAATAATGTTCATTAAATAATATAATTTAATTATCACCAACAATACTAGCTCTTTCCATTCACTGACCTTTCTTAGATACACTTGGACACTTTTCTTAAGAAACACAGCTCAGAATGCAGTCACATGATTTTGTGGGCTTGTAGTTTGAGCTATTCCAAATTTAAGAAGCTTTGCAAATGGGTACTCACCCCCTGCAAGTAGTTGTCAGGTGATTTTTAAACATTAAATTCATTCATATGATCACCTGAATAGAGAATGTGCCGTGGGAAAAAGAAAAAAGAGATTGGTATTGCAAAGCTGACTTAAGTCCCTTCCTTTTAATACCTGATTATGTATGTTGATGTTTTACCCTACTGTCCAACGTTCCTTTTCAACTCACATCTTGCTGAATTACATGCAGATCATTGTTTTAAAAAAATTTTTTTTAAAGGTTATGGTGTATTTTCTTAAGATGTAGAAACTTACGAAATTTAGTATATCATGAAGGAAAAATTCTGAGTATTCTAATGGCTTTTTAAAATAATCATTTATTTGCTAGGTAAGTTCTCTTCTACGCTGTATGAGACTGGTGGCTGTGATATGTCACTTGTGAATTTTGAACCAGCAGCAAGAAGAGCATCCAATATCTGGTATGTGTGAAGTCATATTAGGAGTGTGTGTACTTTCATATGTTTGCCATATTTAATGTTTTTAAGCCTAGAACTATAAAAGTTAATTTTTTTGTTTTTTATAATTTAATGTTGTTAATTGACAAATAAAAATCATAAATATTTATGGCATACAACCTGATGTTTTGAAATATCATATACATTGGCTTAATTGAGCTAAAATTAACATGTATTATCTCACATACTTATAATCTTGTTTGCGGTGAGGACACTTAAATCTACTCTCTTAGTGATTTTCAAGTATACAGTATGTTGTTAATTGTAGTCACCAGGTCAGATATAAAAGTTATTTTGAAAACATCTTTATATTTACTCTAATAATTTGTCATAGTGCATTTGTTTCTAAAAACTTAAGGTAGAATTTTTTTTGCTATGGAAAAAAGAAAGTATTGTTTTTAAAACAAAAGCTATTCTGTGTTTTAAAAACTAAATCAAGATATCCCGAAGATCTTACAGTGGCACAGTGTTTTCCCACAGTGTCAAATTTAATTGTATTTCATTTTCTCTATATATTGTATAATGTATAAAAGCTAATCAGGACTTACTCTTCATGTAAGTTCTTACATAACTAAGTTCAAACCTATTGGTTCTCTTTCTTTATGTAATTTTAAAATTTTATTTCCTTCTAAGTGTTTGGTCAAGTACCTTTTTAAATAATCAACTTTCATTTTGTTTAAAATTTCTTTTACTGGCTTTAAGGAAGTATTTCTTAAAATATGTCTCATACGTTACCTTTAGCTTCTTTTATCCCCCCATCTGAAGGAATTTGTAAGATAATGAAGTCAGGAGAAGAGCAAATAAATTAGAAATCTTGATCATATAACATCAATTATATTTTTAGAAGGTGTTAACATTTTTGTTTTCTAAAATTTTGATCTTATTGCTTATTTATTCAAATTGCACTTTGAAGCCTATTCTTGATTAATTAGTTTTCTTTCCCCTCAAGAGTTACTGATTCTTATTTTAGGACTTCTGTTTAATGATGGATCACATCTGTTTAAATGTTAGACATCTGTGGGCTGTTTACTTATTTTTTTGTTTTGAGGGACCATTTAAAGCAATAAAATCTTGCAGTCATTTAGCTCCACATGCTGAAAAAGTAGAACATATAGATAACCATGCTCTTTAAGCTCCTTTGGTCTAGTTTCAGAATTCACCCTCTCAAAAAATTATTAAATTGTACTGTTACCCTGATTCTGTAACAATGGAAACAGTAGGAGGAGGGAGGGATAGAAATGCTGTTACCATGTTTAATGTAGTTCAAGAGAACAATTCCTTACACTATAAATGTGGTAAAGCCTCAAGTTTTGAAATCCAAACATGACTGAACTGTGGAAACTGACTTATGTTGTAGGTTATTACATTATAGCTTAAGTTTATTGTGTCTTTACTGATTCCTGGCAATATGTTTATTGCTTTCTTTGCATTATCTGATTTAAACACTTTCACAAGAACCTTGTGATACAGATACTATTGTCATATGTTACTGAAGAGGAAACGCAAGTATGAAGAGGGTAGGTAACTTGTCCAAGATCTCATTCAGTGGAAGAGATTTGAATGTAGTCACTGACCCAGAGTCTATGTGCTTATCACAACTCTAGGAAAATGCTATTTTGCATTTTGAAGTTAACATGGAAAAGTGAAGATATGTGAATCTCATCTGAATGTTAAAGGATATATTTTTCTTTCTGCTTGACAAACTGTTCCCTATTTTTTATTTTATTTTAGTGACACAGATTCTCATGTATCCAGTTCTACCTCAGTTCGATTTTATCCACATGATGTGGTAGGTTTTTCTTTATTTTTACAACATGATAAATTTTCAGATTAAATCTGAAATATGTATTTACATAGATAGCTATAAAAGCCATAAAAATTGATGAAGTTACACAAAAATTTTTTGAAAACTATGGCAAAATCACTTTGCTGCCCTCCAGTGGCTCTCTTTTTCTAAGTCCTTTGATAAGAAACAAAAGTACAAGGTTAAGAAACCCTGGCATAGAGTATTTTAAAAAGTGTTTTGGAAAGTATTTGTCAATGCTTAGAGATAGAAATGGCTGTGTTATATATAGGAAGTAAATTTTCTCAACTATACCCAGATATGTGTTTGAAAAGTAAAACCCTCCCTACTTTTTGGCTATAGTGTATTCCTGGAAACTGCATAGGAAAGCAAACATGGGAAGATGATTGTTTTATTGTTTTCTACTTTTAAATGGTATGGGAACCTTGAGATAGCAAAATGCTGCCTAGTACTATGCCAAATACAGTCAACTTTTGATGCTTTCTGAGGAAAAGAAAACTGGTAAACTGATGGATGGATGAGTTGAAGTTAAATATAGTATAGTAATTTGTATAGCCTCAGGTGAGCAGCTTGCCAAAACAAACAAACAAACAAACAAACAGGGGTGAGGGATTTGGAAATATAGTAACAACAATGATAAGAGACTGTGGGAAGAAATGAGAGTTGCTGCCATCAGATCCAATGCAGTGGGGCTCAGATTTAACACTGATAATGAGGTTCAAAGCTTAAGGAGAAAAGACTATAAATGTGAGAAGAGAAGCCACTAACGATTCACAGTAAGTGGTTTTAGTAGATTCGCTAGCTATACAGTTATAAAATCTTAAGGTTTTTTCTTAAGCATTCCCTGAGAAAAATCTTAAGATTTTAGACACTTTTCTAGTCAATTATTTACAATAGGTTTATTGATTAATTAACTTTGTTTTAGTTCACTTCCTATTGTCACCTTCTATAGTTTCTGGTAATCATAACATATTCATAAAGAGTAGGCTGGGCGCAGTGGCTCCTGCCTGTAATCCCAGCACTTTGAGAGGCCGAGGCGGGTGGATCACGAGGTCAAGAGTTCAAGACCAGCCTGGCCAAGATGGTAAAATCCCGTCTCTACAAAAAATAGAAAAAGAATTAGCCGGGCATGGTGGCAGGTGCCTGTAATCCCAGCTGCTTGGGAGGCTGAGGCAGAGAATTGCTTGAACCGGGGAGGCAGAGGTTGCAGTGAGCCGAGATTGCACCACTGTACTTCAGACAAGACTCTGTCTCAAAAAAAAAAAAAAAAAAAAGTGTATGAGAGAAGAAAATTAAAGGGCTTAGATAACTGATAAGCTAATTGAGTAACTGTTGAATTATGAAGATATTTTATTTTGAATAAACATATTAAATAAATATTGAAGATATTTTAAGCCTTTCAATGCTGACTTTCTTTTAGCTCTCTCTCCCACAGATTCGATTGAATAGACTATTGACCATTGATACAGATTTGTTGGAGCAACAGGACATTGATCTAAGCCCTGACTTGGCAGCTACTTACGGCCCAACAGAAGAAGCTGCCCAAAAGGTTAAACACTATTATCGCTTTTGGATCCTACCCCAGCTGTGGATTGGCATTAACTTTGACAGACTCACACTTTTGGCCCTGTTTGATAGGTGAGATTATAGTGTGATATTAATGATACGTGTGGATTTTATTTTTAAGATGAAGTGTCTTTAATTACCCACTGAGGTTTTTACCTGGTTATCATGTTGGGAAATGTTTTCTGGTTTTGTCCTCTGGATATAAAACTTAAGGTAATGGGTTTCTAAACAGTGACTATCTTAAATCCATTAAAAATGTTTTGGTTGCAACTTCAATATCTTTTACAAAGAAATTAGTTTTGTTAATCAGTGAGACTCATACAACTGCTAGTCAAAAGCCAAAGAATATGAGTTTTGATGATCTTTAAGTTATAGGTAATATGATGCAAAGTTCTATATAACAGTTATAAGAGGAAACTTCTGTTTCCCTGGTTCTTAACACTACTCTCTTAATGGCAAACACAAACTTGGTGACCAACAGCTGTTTCCAGTCAACATGGAGTAACAGGATTGGATTTATCATCTCATGTGAAACAACCAAAAATAGACAAAGTACGTGAAACAGTGGTTTTCAAGACATTGGAGATGAGGAAAAAAGGACAGTGATTCCTGAGAGATGACAACAAATAACATGAGCCCTCCAATTGCCCCAGCTTAATGCTTTGAGAGAGTTTCTAGGCTGCAAGACAGGGAGGGAGAACTGAAGTAGAGTCCAGCCAACTTCCTGAGTTAAGGAGATAGAACTGAGAGTCCAGGGAGGCTATGGCAGTTAGAGTCCACAGGACAGACTGTTAGAGAGGAGAGAGCTGCTTAGAGAGAGAACCTTAGAGATCTGCATTGAGTCACCTTGACTGTTTGGCAGAGTATGGATATGTTCCTGTATGTGAGGAAACTATTTGAGGCCAGGGAAAGAACCATGTGAAAAGGAACAGAGGAACAGTTCCTGGCAATCACACAGCACTGGGAATAGTACATGTCCCTACCAGCCAGATTGGAGACATTTATGGTTCATATTTTATGGTGCCTTGTGTAGAATACTCAGGAAGATATTTAAAAGTGGGGAATAATTACCCCTAGCAGGAGCACTACTTCACACCCACCTAACAAGTAATAAAACCAAGACCTGAAGGGATCAAACTGTTTCCAAGTAACATAAAGTCTAAGAAGATTTATGGAAATCCAGAAATACCCAGCACCCAACAAGTTAAGATTCACAATGTCTAGCATTCAGTCAAAGATGACCAAGTGTGCAAAGAAGTGAGAAAACGACCTCTAACAAGAATAATCAGTTGAGACCAAACTGTAGCTTAAATAGATACTAGAATTAGCAGACAAGGACATTAAAACAGTTATAACTGCTTTCCCTATGTTTAAAAAGTTAACTACGGACATAGAAGATACTTTTAAAAGTCCCAAATCAAACTTAGAGAGTTGAAAACTATAATCCCTGAGACGAAAAATATACTGGATGGGATTAATGGTAGATTGCACCTTGTAGAAGAAAAGATTATTGAACTCACTCGAAGGCATAATAATGGAAACTATCCAGAATGAAACAGAAGAGTCCACTGTCCCCAGTGAAAAGAATATAAAAACAAAATGAGAGAAAGCTGTGGGACAACTACAAGAGGAAACAAGGAGACAAAAGATTTTGAAGAAATAAGGAGACAAAAGATTTTGAAGAAATAAGAGTGGAGAACTTTCCAAATTTGATGAAAACTGTGAATATACATTCAGGAAGCCCAGTGAACCTCAAGCATAAAATGCTTGAATAAAACTACACCAAGGGACACAACTGCTCAAAACCAGTGATAAAATTGTTAAAATTGCAAAAGAAAAAAAGAGGAGCAAGGATAAGGAAGACATCCTTTTTATTGTTGGAAATAACGAAGTGAAAAGACAGTAGAGGAGCATCTTTAAAGTACTGAAAAGAAAAAAACCCTGTCAACCTACAATTCTATACATAGCAAAAATACCTTTTAAAAACCAAAGTGAAATAAAGACATCTTCAGATCAGAAAAAAATGGGAAGAATTCTTATGAGCAGACCCACACTACAAAAAATGTTGGAGGATGTCTTTCAGGCAGAAGGAAAGTGATCTCAGATGGAAATATAAGTCTACCCAAAGGAACAAAGATAAATGGAAATGGTAAGTCACTATATGGATAAATGTAAAATATTTTTTCTTATTAATTAAATCTCTTTAAGAGGTAACTGTTTAAATGAAAATAACAGTGCTTCGTGTGGTTTATAACATGTAAAAGTAAAATTTATGATAATAGCATAAAGGCAGAGGGGACAAATAAAAGCATACTATTGTAAGTTTCTTATATGTAAAGTGATATATCATCACTTTGAAGGTAGACTGTCATAAATGTGTATTGTAAACCCTAGGCTGGACGCCGTGGTAATCCCAGCACTTTGGGAGGCAGAGGCAGGAGGATCACTTGAGCCTAGGAGTTTGAGGCCAGCCTTGGCAACCTAGTGAGACTCTGTCTCTACAAACATATTTTTAAAAATTCTTACCAAAACCTACTGTAAGGCAATCACTAAAATAACAAAAGAGTTGTAGCTAATATGTCAAAAAGGAGATAAGATGGATTATAAAAATTACTGTTAATCAATAAGGTGGAAAAAGATCAAAGAATAGATGAGACAAATAGGAAACACATGACAAGATGATAGAGTCAGAAAAAGTCAGAAATTGGCAGATTAGATAAAAAAGAACAACACTCAACTCCAAGCTGCCTACAAGGAAGGTACTTTAAATATAAAAACAGAAGACAGTGTGGTGGCTCATGCCTGTGATCTCAGCACTTTGGGAGTCTGAGGTGGGAGGATCTCTTGAGGCCCAATTTTCGAAAGCAGCCTGGGCAACGTAGACCCAGTTTCTACCAAAATAAAATAAAAACAAATAGGTTAAAAGATGGAAAAAGATATACCATGCTAACATTAACAAAAGGCTTATAGTACTGGCTGTATTAAAGTCAGGTAAAGTAGACTTCAGAACAAAGAATATTACCAAGGATAAAGAAGCCCATTTCATAGTGATAAGGAGTCAATTAATCCACAGGATTTAACAGTCCTAAATGTTTGTACACCTGAAACAGAGCTTCAGAATTCATAAAGCAAAAGCTAATAGAAGTGGAGAAATAGACAAATCACAGTTATAGGTGATTTCAGCACTTCTCTTTAAATAATGGATAGGATAATTATTTAGAAAATCAGTGAGGATGTTGTGAACTTGAACAGTATTAGCAACCAACCTAAATTGGTTGCATTTATGGAACACTGCATCCATAACAAGAGAATATACATTTTTCTAAGTGCTCACAGAACATTTACTAAGATAGTTCACATTTTGAGCCATAATACGAGAGTTATTAAATTTTAAAAGGTCCACTATCCAATCATACATAGTGAATTAAATGGTAAATTAATAACAAATAGAACCTTGGAAAATTCCCAAATATTTGGAAACTAAACACTTCTAAATAACCCATGGATTAGAGAAGATGTCAAGAGAGAAATTAGTATTTTGGGCTAAATGAAAGTGAAAACACACCATATCTGAATTTTGGGAATGCCACTAACTTGCAGTACTTAGGAAAATTTATAGCACTAAACACCTAGATTAGAAAAGAAAGGTCTCAAATCAGTGACTTCACCTTCCACTTGCTAGAAGAACAAGAGCACATAAGCCCAAGTAAACAAAAGAAAGGTAGTAGTAAGGAACAAAACAATTCAATGAGGAAACAGAGAAATAATAAAGAAAATCAAGGAAATGAAAAGTTTGAGAACATCAGTTGTATCAATTGATACAAATAGCTAAAGGCTAAACCTTTAGCCAGCCTGATCAGAAAAAAACAAAAGAAGAGGAAAGACGTAGATTACCAACATCAAGAATGTGAGTTATGATATCACTACAGACTCTCCAGGTATTAAAAGCATAATTAGAGAATGATATGAGCAGCTATATGCAAATAAGTTCAACATTGGACAAATGGACAAATTTCTTGAAAGATAAATTATGAAATTTCATTCTGAAAGAACTACATGACCTTAATTGTCTTACATCTATTAAATAAGTGGAAATTGTAGTTTAGAAACTTTCCCACAAAGAAAACTCTAGGCCCAGATGGCATCAAAATAATATTCAGATGAATGAAATGGAGAAAGGATAGCCTTTTCAACAAATGGTGGTGGAACAATTGGATTTCCATATGCAAAAAAATAGAGATGGACGCAGAGGTGTGTGCTTAGGAGGCTGAGGTGAGACGATTGTTTGAGGCCAGCCTGGGCAACATAGCAAGACCCCATTTCAAAAACAAAAATAAAGAACTTGTAGCCTTACCTTGTGCCATATTATGAAAATGTATCATAGGCTTAAATGTGAAACGTAAAACAAAACTTCTAGAAAAAAAAGAAAACAGGAGAAAAGTTTTATGAACTTGGATTAGGCAAAATTACTTAGCTCTGATGCCAAAAACAAGATCATTAAAACAAAATTTGATACATTGGACTCATCAAAATTGAAAATCCTTAAAAATCCAAAGACAAGACATGTTCAATGACAAGGGAGGCACTATTCAGGCAGGCCCAGGATTGAAAAGAGGTCATTGGATTTAGCAAATCTGAAATTGCATAACTACCACCTAAAATCAAATGGAAATGCCAGTAATTTATTGGTTTGGAAATACTATTGAACTTTTTTATCTGGTAGAACTATTAAATGTATTAAGTACAAAGATGTTTATGAATTTTATTTTTAGGCCCAGTTGATTGTGATAAATATGGAATTGGGTTAATATATTTGTTAAGTTTATGATTATAAAAGTAATTCCTTACCTATTGTAGAAAATTTAAATATGTACAAAGTTTTGAAGACAGAGGCAAACCATAATTCTTCCATGGAGAGAAGCATTATTAGTAATATCATTTTTGGTATATTGTCTTTTTTAACCTATATGTTTAATTTTTTAATAGCAGAACTTATATCCTCCTATGCCCATGGTTTTGTGTCCTGCTTTCTGTATGTATGAGATGTACTGAGCATTTTTTCATTTTTAATAGTCTTTAAAAATATGATTTAGAAGTATTTTAGGGAAATACTAAAGGATGTATTTGTATAAGATTTTGTGAATAAAATTTTCCCAAGAAGTAATGAGATAGATTCATGTGTGTGTATGAAATAAAAATAATCTTCATTGATATATATATATGTATATCTTGAGCATCATATTGTTTCTCTTACAATGTCAATTTAATAAATATAGAATTGTCTTAGCAACTTTGATAGAAGCAGAGGTGTTTGTCACTACCTTTAGTTTCAAGATATGTAAGAGCCCATATTTAAGTAATTCTAGTAAGTGAGTTTTCTAATTCTTTCAGATGACTGAGAGATGGGGGAAGCGAAATCAATTAGTGCCAGAATTTTGTTACTATTTTGCCATATAACAAATGTTTTAAATTTAATTTTCTAGAAACTATTTTGAGATTTTGTTTTTTAAACATAATGTGATTCTTTGTATACATATTTTATTTGCCATCCAAGTTGGTTAACTATTTTGCAACAAATAGAATAGAAAAGCAAATATTAAGGAGAGTAACATTTTTAAAATAGAAATTTAAAACTATATTATGTAATTGAAACTCCACAATTCACTGTAGCATGTTTTATTTGTATATAAGAATTCATGTTATGTCCACATGAAACTAGTTTGTTTTCAGTATGATCTAAAACCTTGTTCAAACTCAGTACCAAAAAGACATCTTGGCATACCATGAACTTCATATTTATGTCTTCCCTTCCCTTTTTTCCATTTGGTTAATTTCTTATACTTAAGATATACTTACCCATAAGTTTTTCTGTCCGTAGAAATCGTGAGATCCTGGAAAATGTGTTAGCTGTCATCCTGGCTATTCTCGTGGCCTTTTTGGGATCTATTCTTCTCATACAAGGATTCTTCAGAGATATCTGGGTCTTCCAGTTCTGCCTCGTCATAGCCAGCTGTCAATACTCACTGCTTAAGGTACCAGCATCTCTTCTTTTCATGCTACGGAATTATATTTGTGTTAAAAGGCAGAGGATTTTGTAGCAATTACTGAATTATAGTAAGATAATTATTTTTAGGCTTACTTTTCTTGCATGTTTACATAAGATTGTGTAGAGAGCAAAAGGGGGATATAAACCTTAAAAATAATTGTATGTAAATTAGCACTTCCTAAAAACAAGTTTTTTGTATTAAAAGAAAACTGTGTTTGTTTTGTTTGTTTTATTTTGTTTTTTGGAGATGGAGTATTGCTCTGTTGCCCAGGCTGCAGTGCAATGATGCTATCTGGCTCACTGCAACCGTCGCCTCCCAGGTTCAAGTGATTCTCCTGCCTCAGCCTCCTGAGTAGCTGGGATTACAGGCGCATGCCACCATGGCTGGCTAATTTTCGTATTTTTAGTAGAGACGGGGTTTCACCATGTTGGTCAGGCTGGTCTCAAACTCCTGACCTCGTGATCCGCCTGCCTTGGCTTCCCAAAGTACTGGGATTACAGGCATGAGCCACTGCGCCTGGCCTAAAAGAAAACTGTATTTGTTAAAATAAGAACTTGCATTCTTTTTTTTTTTAATAGTAGTAGTTTTTTTTATTATTATACTTTAAGTTCTGGGATACATGTGCAGAATGTGCAGATTTATTACATAGGTATACACATGCCATGGTGGCATCCCACCCATCCCACCATGCATCCCACCATGCACCCATCAACCCGTCATCTACATTAGGTATTTCTCCTAATGCTATCCCTCCCCTACCCTCCGCCCCCTGACGGACCCCCTCCTTGTGTTCCCCTCCTTGTGTCCATGTGTTCTCATTGTTCAACTCCCACTTATGAGTCAGAACATGCAGTGTTTGGTTTTCTGTTCTTGTGTTAGTTTTCTGAGGATGATGGTTTCCACCTTCATCCATGTCCCCACAAAGGACATGAACTCATCCTTTTTTATGGCTGCATAGTATTCCATGTTGTATATGTGCCACATTTTCTTTATCCAGTCTATCATTGATGGGCATTTGGGTTGGTTCCAAGTCTTTGCTATTGTGAACAGTGCTGCAATAAACATACGTGTGCATGTGTCTTTATAGCAGAATGATTTATAATCCTTTGGGTATATACCCAGTAATGGGATTGCTAGGTCAAATGGTATTTCTGGTTCTGGATCCTTGAGGAATCGCCACACTGTCTTTCATAATGGTTGAACTAGTTTACAGTCCCACCAACAGTGTAAAAGCGTTCCTATTTCTCCACATCCTCTCCAGCATCTGTTGTTTCCTGACTTTAATGATTGCTGTTCTAACTGGCTTGAGATGGTATCTCATTGTGGTTTTGATTTGCATTTCTCTAATGACCATTAATGATGAGCTTTTTTTCATGTTTGTCGGCCACATAAATGTCTTTTGAGAAGTGTCTGTTCATATCCTTCACCCACTTTTGGATGGGGTTGTTTGTTTTTTTCTTGTAAATTTAAGTTCCTTGTAGATTCTGGATGTCAGATGGATAGATTGCAAAAATTTTCTCCCATTCTGTAGGTTGCCTCTTCACTCTGAAAATAGTTTCTTTTGCTGTACAGAAGCTCTTTAGTTTAATTAGATCCCATTTGTCTATTTTGGCTTTTGTTGCCATTGCTTTGGTGTTTTAGTCATGAAGTCTTTGGCCATGCCTATGTCCTGAATGGTATTGCCTAGGTTTTCTTCTAGGGTTTTTATGGTTTTAGGTCTTACATTTAAGTCTTTAATCCATCTTGAGTTAATTTTTGTATAAGGTGTAAGGAAGGGGTCCAGTTTCAGTTTTCTGCATATGGGTAGCCAGTTTTCCCAACACCATTTATTAAATAGGGAATCCTTTCCCCATTGCTTGTTTTTGTCAGGTTTGTCAAAGATCAGGTGGTTGTAGATGTGTGGTGTTATTTCTGAGGCCTCTGTTCTGTTCCATTGGTCTTTATATCTGTTTTGGTACCAGTACCATGCTGTTTTGGTTACTGTAGCCTTGTAGTATAGTTTGAAGTCAGGTAGCGTGATGCCTCCAGCTTTATTTTTTTTGCTTAGGATTGTCTTGGCTATGTGGGCTCTTTTTTGGTTCCATATGAAATTTAAAGTAGTTTTTTCTAATTCTGTAAGAAAGTCAGTGGTAGCTTGCTAGGGGTTGCATTGAGTCTGTGAATTACTTTGGGCAGTATGGCCATTTTCACAATATTGATTCTTCCTATCCATGAGCATGGAATGTTTTTCCATTTGTTTGTGTCTTCTCTTATTTCCTTAGCAGTGGTTTGTAGTTCTCCTTGAAGAGAAGCCCTCCCACAGCTGGAAAACCATTGACATAGTTCTGTTTTTACTAACAGCTGTCCATCCTTTCTTTCTCTTCTCCATTTATAGCTAGACATGTGGAGTAAGCCACCTAGGTCATCTGCTTTATTTCTTTAAGACCCATCCATACTTTCCTCATTGCAGTACTGAAATTATAGTCTTTGTGGTTGCTAATGATCATTCTAATTGCTAAATTGCTTTTCTTAAGTCTCCATGCTTTATGAATGCTACATCATTTAATACCTATGTATACTCTTCCATTTTGATATTCTCCTCATTTTTGATCATGACTTTATACCACCCTCATGTTTCTTTCACTTTTCAGATGACTCTCTTTTCCTTTGTTGATCCCTCTTTGTTCTTTCAACTGCTTAATTTATGAGAATTCTCTAGGACTTATGTGGTTATCTTCTCGGTTTACAGTTCCTTTCCAGTGAAGTCATCCTTTTTTATTGCTTTATTTGTTGCCTTTGTATATGAGTTATTTCCAGATTTATATCTCAAAGTCTTCACCTCTTTTGCAAGCTTTAGTCCTGTGTATCTAACAGACATTTTAAAAATAGCAAATTAATCATCTCCTGGTTAATTTTTCTTTCCCAATATCTTTGCTTTTGGCAGTGATATACCTGCTAAAAATCTTTGAGTCACTGCTCCTTCCTCCTTGATCACTAATAACAAGTAACCCAGTCCCTTTGATGACATTTAATGATTGTATATTAAAATTACTGGTTGTCAGTCTTGCACTATACCTTTAGTGCCCTAAATCATTTAAATTCATTTTGCGGCTCTAGTGTCTCCATGGTCCAATTAATTTTGTCCACTGCTTTCAGGTTAATGTGGTTAAATATGGAAAAGGTAAAAGGTGACAGATTTTTGCAACTAGTTGACTAGAAGAATAATAATGTCATAAACAGGGATAAGAAAGACAAGAACAGAAGCATTTAGAAGATAGGCGCTGTGGTTAAAAGAGTTTAAAGATTATCTGGAGTCAAATCTAGCCAAGGGCCAAATGCCAAACTCAGTGAGCTTGGCCCAGTATCGAATGGTAGGGTGGTGATAGATAATCCTAGTGAAATTGTATGGTATGCCATTGGAAATGAACTGAAACTTGGGAGAAAAGTCATGAGTAGGGAAGTAGCTGCATAATACCTTCTGAACATTTTTATGGGAAGTTAATAAAATCTCTTAAAAGGATACAGCTTAACTTATTTGATTATTTTGATATGAAAATGCAGATAATATCTTTATTACAAATACCATTGAATTATTTAGTAAGCTTGGAATTTATGGGCAGAACTAGAATTGTTGTTATAAGTGAACCCCTATTATTGTATATTTCCTGAATGAATGATGTCCTGTGAGAAATACTATACTTGTATTTAGTATACCTTAACTCCACTTGTATATAGCAATAAGCCAAACAGTAAGATGGCTCTGTCTATCATATGCTATTGCAGAAACTTTAAGATAGATACAAATAAATACATAATAATCTTATTTCCTGACTCTTATCAGGAAAGATTTGATATGTTTTTAATATCACAGTGACACTGGTATCTGGAGCTGATGTTTCATCTCTGGAACAGAATTATTAATATAGGTCATTTTGTGGTTGTGGAATATTTACTTAAAATCATTCATTTCAGGCATTTTGAAAGTTGGTTGTAAAATTAGCAAGACTTCAGGAGTGTAATTTGTCTTTCTGTTTCATTTTTAGAGTGTTCAACCAGATTCTTCTTCTCCCAGACATGTAAGTCACTCTTAATATGGCTGTACATTATAGGTCCTTAACATTTATCATAATATTTGTGGTTTGTTTTTTGTTTTTTTGTTTTGTTTGGAATGCATCAGCCTGAACTAAAATTTATGTTATTATTTTCCTCATCTATGTTTTGACACACTACTAGAAATATAGGTGTTTTGTTAGCTTGAAATAAAATGACATTGTACTTGTGGACTCTAAATCTTGGTTGAAAATGAGCATGATAATTCACTTTTTGATAGTCTGTTTCAGGGAGTAGACATGGTTCTTATAAACTCATGATTATTTGTGTTTAATACATTTTGAATAATAGCTTATGAATAGGTATTGAAAATAGAATTTTGAAGTAGGAAAAACTTTATATTATTTCACTTGAGTAACCATTAGGAGCAAGAATAAAGAAGTAATACCTGAGTCTGGTGTTAAGACCATTGAATAAAAACTTTGTTATTCACTTCGTGACTTTAGACAAAAATATTATCTGCCTAGCACTATTTATTGTGAAATGGGATCCAATTTTAGATGTAAATTGAGGTTTTAATAGAACAGAGGATATTCTATTTAAAGTAGTTCAAAAATAGACTTCATGAATAGTTTATGATTTTTTTCCTTGAATATAATTTTTTTAATCCTTTCACTGGAATAATGAATAATGGGAATGGATGAGCAAAATAAAACAAAGAGGCAAGTGTGGTTTTTGTTTTTGACTGATTACTGTTTTGTAAGAATATTTTTGAAGTGTAATGATATATGGAAACATTGCTTTTCAACTTTTTATTTTGACGTAATTTCAAACTTAAAGTTGGAAGGGCAGTACAAAGAATTTCAGATACTATTCATCCAGATCCCCAAGTTAACATTTATGATATTTGCTTAATCCCTTTCTAGCACATGATCATTTTTCCTTCTTTCTCTCTGCTAGCTGACATGATGCCCCTTTATCTCTAAATATCTCAGTGTGTTTCTTAGAAACAAAGATATTCCTTTATGTTAGTTAATTCAAGATAATTATCAAAATTAGAACATTAACATTGGTACAATGCTGTCTTCTAATATATAGATCTTATTCAAATAGGTTTTGCCCATTGTCTTCATTGGCAATAGAAAGTCCTTGATTATGTTTAGTCTCTTAAATCTCCTTTAATCTGGAGCAATTCTTTGGAAGCTATCTTTCATGATATTGAAATTTTTGATAGATATAGGCCAGTTATTTTATAGACCATCCCTCAATTTGAGTTTGTCTGATGTTTTTTCTTTAAAAAAATTTTTTTTTTTATTTTTCACCCTGTCTTATGGTGCTGATGATGTTTCTGATTTGATAAGGCCGTGCTTTTTAAAGTAGGAATACTGCAAAAGTGCATCATATTAGAAAGCACATACTAATTTATCCTGTTACTAGTGATGTTAATTTTGATCTTCTGGTTAAGGGTATTGTCTTCAAGGTGTCTGAAATTTCTGCAGTATTAACATTTTGGCCAGCTAATTCTTTGCTTGAGGGTGCGGAATGCTGTCCAATGCATTGTAGGATGTTTGGCATCCTCTACCTACAAGATGCTGGTAGCACCACTTCCCCAATTGTGACAACAGAAATGTGTCCAGATATTCACATATGTGCACTGGGGAGCAAAACCCCCTCCCACTTTCTTAAGAACCATTACTCTACTGTAATGTTACTGTTTTTCTCTTACAGATAATAAATACTTAAAATAAATAAATAAATACCTCATAGAGAGATACCCTGAGATTGTATATGTGTCCTTCTCCATAAATTTCTATCCGATTGTTTTAGTATCTACTGATGTTTCTTGCCTGATTCAGTTATCATTTATTGGTTGCCAAATGGTGATTTTTCTCATCCTGTCATTCCTTCTACATTTATTAGTTGACTATTTATTAATACTATAAGGAAGAGCTTTCCCTTCTTATATATGTAGGTATGTATTGGTGTGGATAAATGGATGATTTTATTCAATGGACTATAATGTTACTAATAGTATTTATTTTGATGCTCAAATTGTCCCTGATTTAGCCATTGGGAGTCCATCACGCAGCTTTCTGTGTCCTTTTGACATATCTCTGTCATTCTTTAAGTACTTTCTACCTTTTTGTCACAACAATATGTTCCAGGGTCATCTTATACTTTCCCTGTTGTAGCCAGAAACCAGTCTTTTCTCTATGGAGCCCCCCCACCTTTTTTGGTAGGTAATGGTATTTATAAAGTAAGATCTAGTTGCTAGTAATCATTATTGCTAGAATCTCATTGCATCTAGGTCCTCTTAGTGGATAAAGCTAGGAAGTGTATGTATGTATGTACATATATACACACGTATATACATATATATTACCCATTCCTATATCTATTTATATGCATATTAAAAATAATGAGACTGTGGGAGCCCAATGTGGGCAGATCACTTGAGACCAGGAGTTTGAGACCAGCCTGGGCAACATGGTGAAACTCCATCTCTAAAAAAATTAAACAGGTGCAGCGATGTGCGCCTGTAGTCCCAGCTACTTGGAAGGCTGAGGCAGGAGGATCACTTGAGCTCAGGAGGCTGAGGCTGCAGTGAGCTGTGAGCACTCTACTGCATTCCAGTCTGGGCGACAGAGTGAGACCCTGTCTCAAAAAAACAAACAAACAATAAAAAACACAAAATTTCACACTGATATTTCTGTTTCAGTCCAGTATCTCAGAGTTCATTCTGTTATTCTTCCTCCTTTCTATATTTGTTAATCCTTTCTGTGATTGTCAGAAATCTGGCTTCCATATGGAAAAAGTTTGAATCCTTAGAATAAAGCCATCAGTGATACCAGTAGTTATTTGTGACTCTTAAAATTAACCAAACTGACTTTTAAAAAATATCATTTTCAGGGTCATAATCGTATCATTGCCTACAGTAGACCAGTTTATTTCTGCATATGTTGCGGTCTTATTTGGCTCTTGGATTATGGTAGCAGAAACCTGACTGCAACCAAGTTCAAATTATATGGAATAACTTTCACCAATCCACTGGTGTTTATATCAGCCAGGGATTTAGTTATAGGTGAGTCATCTTAAAGTATCTCTAATCTTAAAATTAATTTATTTGTATATCAACATTTTACTGATAAATATATCAATTATACAGCTTTAGTTTTTAATAAGCTTATTTTACTGTTATTATGTGCTCTGAGGAACAAAGTGATAGGACTATTATGAGTGAATAAAGCTAATGATGAACAAATATTATAGTAATTCTTTTGTTCTTGGAGTAGATATAATGCAGAAGATTTTTTTGGTTTTGTTATCTTAGGTTTCTATTATGTGAAAATGGTTGAAATAACTTTAAAAAGTATTGTTTATGATTGAAAAGATGTTATTTACTACCCAAGCAATTATGTTGAGAGGTATCATTTAAAATACTGTCTTTTAAAAATTGCTTAGTAGTTTATGTTAATTTGGGATTTTTAAAAATTATGACCTCTCAGTGGACACAAGAATGGATACAGTATAATATTTTAAAATATACTTTTCTTTCTTTTTATAGTGTTTACACTCTGTTTCCCAATAGTGTTTTTCATTGGTCTCCTGCCTCAGGTGAATACATTTGTAATGTACCTTTGTGAACAATTGGATATTCATATTTTTGGTGGTAATGGTGAGTACTTCTTTATAAAAATTATAGATTACAGTATTACCTTTATAGATCATGAAGTAATAAACTGACCATTAAAATGCTTTTCCAGTTTTCACTTCAGGCTTGAAATTAGAAAAAAAAAAGACATTAAGTGATTGAAGACTGAGAAGCAATTAATTTGTGGATAGGAAAAAATAGTCAAGTCTGCTACTTTAGAGAAAGAGCCAGGTATAATGAAGCAGATGTTTAAGAAGTTATAAAATAATGTCTGCAACTAAAAGTTCTAGTGAATTTACATGGAGCCTACATATACTTAAGAGGTATTCATAAAAGATCATCTATCCTGAGTAGATTGAGGTTTGATACATAGCATTATATTTGGATTTTAAACCAGTATGTGCATTTAGTAGGTCTTCATATTTGGTTTCAGAGCCTTGTTTTATCCTTAGAATGGTAACACCAAAACCAGAATCTAAAAGTATTTTAGTAATAAATAAGTTTTTAAGAACTATCTCTGTTCATTGAGTAGAATATGTGGCTATGAATTGATACACTTAGAAAATCTATTTCCATATTACCCTGGAATAGATAATGGTTTGTAGAACTTGAAAATAATCATATCAGCATACACCATGGTTAAAATATACCATTATTTAGTTTAACCATTTAAAATTTTACTGAAAGATGAGTTTGCAACTAGAGAAAATGAAAGGGAAAGAAATTACTGTAACTTTATAGTTCATTTCTCTACACGTTTCACATTTTCAGGCCTCATTTATTTTCCAAGCATATGCATTGAAATCCTCTCTGCTGATAAAATGTCAATATTATGGCTTTCATTTTAAATAGAAACTGAGTTTTTGCTATGTTGCTGTATATCATACTAGAGAATTTTTAATGTTTTGAAAATTTTTTGAAGGGGTATGAATTAAGACAGAACTGGTTTCATCAATCAGCATGGCTTAATGGGTAGAAGACAGTTTGAATATTTAGGGACTATTACTGGTGTTATATTACTGTAAATACTATGGGGAGGGCTTAGTGTAGGTAATTTATGATAATGGGCTTTTGTCATACTATAATTTACAAACTTATGCAAGGTATTAGGTTTCTGATATCTCATAAGGAATTATTTCTGTAGATTTCTTTTATTATTATTAAATTACTACTAAAGAAAATCTGTTACCCATGTTTTAAAAATAAAGTCTAGATATCTTAGCCATCCCCTATTCCTTATTACTAATAACTCCCATTGGAGTATTAGTAATTATCTATTTCATTGTTGTTGCTATTGTTAGCAATTAGAGCTACAGTGTCTAAAGTATCTGTTATTAGATCTAAAGTATCTATTTTGTTGTTGTTATTGTTAGCAATTAGATCTACACTTTTTTTCTGAAAATTAACACATGGGCATACAGATTTACTTCTGGGGGTAACACAGGTTCTGTTTACATAGATAAATGTTTTTCAGTGAACACTTAATACATCTCCAGTTCCTGTTCAGGCCTCTGAAAACTTCATTTTTCCACATTTTTTGTTAATATAAGATATATTCTTGAAGCATAATATAGATAAAATTTTTTCTTGCTACATATAAATGTTTATTGCTTCCAAGATGAACATATTTTATCTCGTAACAAAGACTCAGGATAGCAAATCTCTGTTCATGTCAAAATCTTTTTGAAAGAAATAATGAAGTAACTGAATTTCTGAAATTCAGATTAGTAGATATTTAATGATAGTTGACATTATAATATTTTAAATGCTTTTCAGTGACCTTTTAATTATTTTCATATATTTTTATAAAATGTTTCTTACCTTTTCCTTTTCCTGTCTAGCCACTACAAGCCTGCTTGCAGCACTTTACAGTTTTATCTGTAGCATTGTTGCAGTAGCCTTATTGTATGGATTATGTTATGGGGCTTTAAAGGTGAGCAATAAATTATAGTATGTTTTGTCTTTAAGGCTATATTTCTATATGAAGGTTGTTTTAAAATCAACTAATAATGATTTCTTCCCCTGGTATCGCTTAGCATTAATTTTCATGGTCTTCATATGTTAAACATTATTCTCATTCTCAACTACTTTGAATTTGAAAGTAGTTTAATAGTTAACCATTACTAAAAGAAAATTATTTTTCCTGCAGTAGTCGTAGGTTAATATTAGAAACAGATTATTGAAAACTAGGCTCATCTGGTATAAGGGTAGGCATAGTAATTACAGAATATGAAATCAATTTTAAAATTCTAGTTAAGAATTTAACTACTTTTCCTATTAGTTTTTTTAAACTTATAAAAACAAGTTCAAGGACTGCAATTTAAGATACATGCTAATAAAAAGTAATATACTGAAATTTAACGTCATTATTGGGTTAGAAGATCTGGATGAGCCTTATGAACTTTCCTTTAAAAGATTGTCAACAAGTTGTAAACATAAAAATTTAAAAATTTTTGTAGACAGCTTTCAGCTCCTCATGCATACTTGTGGTTTATTTTTGTTTTTTGTTTGGCGACTAGTGCAAGACAATCAGAGAATGGTAGGGTTGAAAGGACTATGACAAGTGACTCACAGATCCTTCCTTGCCTCATTTAAGTAGCATTTATAGAGCATTTATGTGTACCAGGTACTATGCTAAACCATTTTCTGCTTTGAAGGAGCTTGTAGATTAGCTATGATTAACAAGTCAGCCAGCATGTTCAAGACAGTGTAACGAAGGTTATGAAAACAGTTCTGTGGGTGTACAAATTAAGACTACTTTATTCTGCCAAAAGGGATTAAAGACAATTTTCCAGGAAGGTGATATAACCAGATTTTGAAGATCAAATAGGCATTAGCTAATTGAAACAAGAAATGAAGACCCATGGACTTGTAAAGAAAATGTGTTGTGTAGAGGAAATGGCAAATGATTAGGAATTTCTGGAGGTTTGGGTACATGAGGAAAGATGACATCTAAGGTCATTCCTCTAAGGCTAGAAAGGTAAGCAAAGGCTGGATCATTTAGTTTTAATTTCTTCTTACCCACATTGTATGACTATATCACAGTTTACCTGCTGTGTTAGAGATGCTCATTTGAGATGTTTCTAGTTGAGGAATATTATGAATAAGCCTGCTGTGAATATCATCTTGCAAGTCTTTTTGTGGACATGTGTATTCATTTCTCTTGGGTAAATACCTAGAAATGGAATTAACAGTTTTCCAAAGTCGTTGTGCTGGACATCTTTTGGTTTTTTTAGTTTTAATTTTTATCAGAGTTGTACATTCATATATCACAGTGTCAAATAGTTTTACAAGACTTATAGCAAGAACAGCAATCTCCTAACCTGTTTTACCTTCCTCAGACTTACTATTTTTAACTGATTCTTTTTGGCATTTACCTGTATAGATCTACCTTTCATTTCTGCTTCTTACATTTTCTGACAGCTTCAGCAGAACCTGTGGACTGCCCTTTATGAAAGTTGGAGGCTTGACTTCCTTTCTTTCTTTTTTTTTAGAAGCTTGTTTAGAATGCATGTGGTCCATTTATTCCTCAGAGTATTCTAGTTTACGTGCCTAGATTAGGTTAAACCATCCGAGAGCTGCATGTTTGGACCAGGCTGTCTGGCCACCTCTAGGGTTTCCTTGCCCACGTTTCCCTTCAGCATTATGCCTGCCATTTGCACGGAGGCACCTTCCAAGGGTGTGTGTAAGAAAACAGCGGTCCCTTTATCATGGGGCTGTAATGTTGATGTCCTTCAATGCTTTGTTTAGTGTCCCTTCTGTAAAGACTCAATCAAGATGTTTCTTTTAAATCTTGATGACAGCCAGTTCTTGTTTGTTTTCCTAAGAAATCTAGAATGCATTTTGGTTTTGGCTTTTTGTTTTTTCCCCATATAACCAGTGTTATTTTTAAAATTTCCCTTGGCCATTAAGCAGCTCAAAGCCAAATTCCCTGCTTACGTCCAGGAATTTATGGCTTTTGTCTCCCATATCCCTTCCCTCATCATCATAAATGAGGTCCTGAGCAGGATGATGGTTATAAGGATATTTTGCCTTATACTAATTCAAATTCATTAAGTTATCCATTTGTTTCTGAGATTTCTTTTTTTTACATTTGTGTTATGTTTAACAACATTATTAAAGAATAGTAACAGTTCAGAAAAAGGTTGTTAATTTAAACTTTCTGCAAACATCACTGAAAACTTCACCAAGTATACAAGACTTTTTTCTTAGCCAGAAGCCCTTCCACCAAAACTCTAAGCACACCCAAAATCACTGTGCCCAAGAGCCCTGGGTGTCTGGTGAGCTGCTACACTGCACATGTACATATCTGCGAATTAAAATGTGCAAATGTGCAAATATGCAAATGGAGAAGGGGCATTTCCTGACCAGTCAAGGGAAGCTCCCTGGAAGTGTCTGTCCCTGACTCATCTACATTCTTATACCTCAAATCCAACATCCCTTCCTAGCACTTGGTGTGGGGGACCCCAGGCCAAGTGCTGGGACAGGTGTGCAGGTACAAGGCTGAGTGGGCAAATCATCCCTCAAAGCCCAGCAAGGTGCCCAGTGCACCAACAGCATAATGCACCTGAAAACAAGGTCCAGAAGCCCTGGCACAGGACCTTCCTTCCTGCCCTCCCATTCTCCCGTCAGACCAAACAAAGAGGACAGCAGCACCTAGGGCCCCACAGGACAGCACACAAGAATGCCCCAACTTCAACAACCTCCTGAGACAGAAGGGGACTCAGTCTAATCCTGCACAATAGACTTAGGCAGCCCAGCTCTGCAGCTCAACAGCTCTGTGGGTGGGACGTCTCTCACCGTCAGTAGGTCCTGCTCACGTCTGTACATGAGCCCCAGAGCTAAGTGGCCTTTGGCCTTGAACTCTGATGTTTTCTCTCTCACATCAACGACATTTTTGGGAAACTTCTCAGCCTCTTCCTACCAGTGCAGGGAGCCCATGCATAGCTTGGCAGCGAGGAGAGGGATGGTGGCATCGTCTGGCTTCAGGTAGACACACTGTTTCAGCACTTTCACAGCACGAGCAGATTTTCCAGCAGCCATCAGGGACAGAGCAAACTGGTACCACAGGCGGAACTCCCCAAAGGCAAACTTCATGGCTCTTTCTAGGCACTGTGGTTCATTGTCTCATGCCAAGAAAGAATTCAAGACACGGACACACACAAGGAGTGGGTTTAAGAGTGGAAAGATTAATAGACAAAGAAGAAGAGAGAGAGAGAGAAAGTTTCCTCATGCTGAGAAAGCAGGTCGCTCAAGAGAGGGTCTCCCAGAGGCTTGACTTACTTTCTCTCACCCCAGCCTGCACTACACATGTAGCCTCTCTTGTCTCCCTCATATACCTGATGTGTTTGCTTTATTATCACTGTGTAAATGCTCTTCCTTCATATCTTTTGTTTTCTCCTATACTTTGCTTTCATATGTATTTATCTCCCTTTCATTCTCAAGCTCTTAAGATATTAACTTTCTTTTCAGTACATTCAAACATGTCAAGAGTTCACTTTCTGGCTCTGCCACTTAACTGGACAAATTACTTAAACCCTCTTCTGTGCCTTAGTTTTCTCATCTATAAATTGGGGGGTAATAGTACATATTTTCAAGGTTATTGTAAAAATTATTTGGGAAATACAAAGATCTAAGGATGCAGCTCTACACAGTGTTCAATATGATGATAAGGTTTTGATGTAGCTATTAAAAAAATAAAATGTCTGTGTTATGATGTGAAACAATTCCCAAGTCTACTTTTAAGTGGAAAAAAGGCAAGTTGTATTAAAAACTGCCGTTTGGGTCCCCACTCCTACCATGTTTCCTTTCTGAATCTCCAGAGAACAATGAAGGATTAGAGTATTGTCTGCCTCACAGGACATACTTAAGAACTGTTACCTGTTCCAGTTAGTGTATTGCCCATTCTCTGCCAGGTATCATGCTGATAGACTCCAGAGATGCTACAATGAGCAGAGCTCATACGGAGTGACCACGTGTGGTTGGCTTTGGAAGATAGCCTTTGTAGTATTTCCTTCTGGGTATATGCAGTCATTCATTCAAAAAACAGTTACTGAATGCCTGCTCAGTGCTGTGGAGGACATAGTAGTTTATTACATGGGCAAAGGCATCAAGAAAGTAACACACCAAATGTCAGACTTTTCTTTTGCCTAATATATCATGTGTTGTCTTTTCCTACTCTTATTATTGTATCTAAAATTTACTATGCCAAGATATCTTATTCTTCCAAAAGGAACACAGTTTACCACAAACAATAGCACTTAAAATGTGAAAGAATTGATAGCCTCATGCATCAAAAGCAAATTATTCCTCATGTATGAGTAGAGCTTTAGTGCCCTCCCCCCAAAAACATCTGTAGCTTTAGTACCAAAGACATTTAGTGGCCAGATTCTAACTCATCAGAAAGTAATAAATCTAAATTTTTCTGGAATAAAATGCAATTAATAACGTGGCTAAAAACTTTTGTTGAATTTAAGTTCGTTGTCTTTTTCCAAAATACGTACATAAAAGGATTATGTGATATATTACAAATTAGAAGCATATTATTCTGTTAAATTCATTTTTCCGCAGGATTCTTGGGATGGCCAGCATATTCCAGTACTTTTCTCCATTTTTTGTGGTTTATTAGTGGCAGTGTCTTACCATCTCAGCCGACAAAGCAGTGATCCATCTGTACTTTTGTAAGTGAACTCAATTGTTATTGAATTAAAAGAAATTTAAGTAAGTTGGTGTTTTTTTCAAATACCTTTGAAGATCTCTTTTTCCCAATGCCTTTCCAAAGTGCTTTGGCCTAATCTATATTAAGTTTCAAAATATAATAATTTTGGGTTATTCAAATCAGGTTGGCTGAGAATATTAGTGTTTTCCTTCCCAATTATTGAAACTATGTTTTAATAAAAATATTTTCACTGTATGCTTATTTATGGTATCCTAAACATTTTAGAATTTCTCATTTGGTAATGATTAAATATACTCGAATCATTTGGTTTTCTATCATAAACTTCATTGCCCGTTTGAATTACTGGTTTTCAGATTATCTATGTATTTTCTGTTTTTTTTTCTTCACATAAAGCTCTTTAGTGCAATCCAAGATTTTTCCAAAAACGGAAGAGAAAAATCCAGAAGACCCTCTATCTGAAGTAAAAGATCCACTGCCTGAAAAACTTAGAAATTCTGTTGTAAGTTTTAACATTTAGAATCACCTAAAAGACTTAAATCTTAGACAGTTGATCATGTTATATGAGGAACACTTTTTGAAAGTCATTAGTAATTGGAGAAAAATGTATAATTATAATTTATAGGATTAGTTGTACATTGTTGATTGTCTTTATTCCAAATATTAACATATAAGAAATGCTCATTCCTCAGACTTGGTTTGTGTGTAGAACAGAATACTAAACATTTATTTTTAGGTCAGGTGAAATTAAGTCATTTCATTGGCCATAGAATTTTTACTCCTATTTGATTTAGACTAGGATCTGAAAGATTAGCATTAACACAAATTAGATTCATTTTGTTGTTGTTGTTCATCTTGTTGTTGAAAAAAACTATGTCTCTGTAAGTCATTTATTAGTCTTTTAGGTTGTTTTATTTCTCAAGGCCCATCTGAAAACTGTGTGTGTATTCTAGGCTGAAGGAGAGAACAATAACCTGTATTAATGTACTTAAGTAAACGCAGTAATTTTTTAAATTTTCTAATTTGGTGAATTGTAATGTTGCTTGTATTCTTTTAGTAATTATTTGAAAAATGAATTCTGTAAAATTGTGTCTATTTATGGAATAAAACAAAATCTTTTTCTCAGTTTTAGGTCATTTTCCTTTGCAAAAGACTGAATTTATGTAGATGTTGAATTAGACACATTTACTTTCAGTGCACTTGACCTGTTCACATATTTTTTTCAGAAACTTTAGAAATACAAAACTATATCAAGATATTAGAATGACTTTTTTCTAACTTTAGTTTCCATGTTGGCAGAGGATGTTTCATGTTACGTATAGTAGGATATTCTGAATCTGGCTTATAAGCATAAATCTAAGAGGTCAGTTGATGACCAAAGAGATCAAGAGGTTTCTGGTTTTTCTATGACCACTGATGGAACCAAAATCTAATAAGTAAAATAGGACTTAAGCACACAGTTTTCACATGTCAAAAGACCAATGAAGATATAAGTTATCCAAAGGGATATACCCCTATAAATGACACCGTGGTCAGGAGTGGTGGTGTGTGCCTGTAATTCAGCTACTTGGGAGACTAAGGCTGGAGGATCCCCTGAGCTCAGGGGTTCTGAGCTCTAGTGTACAATGACTATACCTGTGAATAGACACTGCACTCCAGCCTGGGCAACATAGTGAGACCCTGTCTCAAAAACAAACAAAAAATTACAGTAACTTAAGGTACCTTATTTCCTTTCCCCATATGTGAAAGTAAAACTTACCAATGGGGGAATAAAATCTTCATTCTAAAAGACTTTATTGCAATATGTTATACGGCATGCAGAACTAGATACGTTGTTCAATTTCTTTGGTATTACAGTGTCAAAGCCAAAATATGAGGAAATTGAGGAAGAAAATAAGATTTTTTGTGGTTAATTATTATGTGTAAGAAATCTAGAAGTGTGGCCAGGTGTGGTGGCTCACACCTGTAATCCCAGCACTTTGGGAGGCCAAGATGGGCGTATATCACTTGAGGTCAGGAGTTCGAGATCAGCCTGGCCAACATGGTGAAACCCTGTCTCTACTAAAAATACAAAATATTAGCTGGGTATGGTGGGGTGTGGTGGCTCACACCTGTAATCCCAGCACTTTGGGAGGCCAAGATGGGCGTATATCACTTGAGGTCAGGAGTTCGAGATCAGCCTGGCCAACATGGTGAAACCCTGTCTCTACTAAAAATACAAAATATTAGCTGGGTATGGTGGGGTGTGGTGGCACGACCAGCTACCTGGGAGGCTGAGGCAGGAGAATCGCTTGAACCCAGGAGGTGGAGGTTGCAGTGAGCCAAAATTGTCCCACTGCACTCCATCTTAGAGAAAGAGAGACTCTAGAAGTGTTAAAGTATCAATGAAAACTTCTTTTTTTTTTTCTTTAATACTGACTGAGCTAGCCAGGCAAAAAATTAATTCTTAAACTTTGCCAATTGGGAATAAAGGAAAAAGATTTTTAAAAATTTTATGTAATTGTTTAATAATTCTTTTTTTTCCCCACAGAGTGAGCGATTACAGTCTGACCTGGTAGTATGCATTGTAATTGGTGTGCTGTATTTTGCTATTCATGTAAGCACAGTCTTCACAGTATTGCAGGTAAGGAATCATTTTCTCCTTTTATTTGTTTGTTTGTTTGAGACAGGGTCTCACTCTGTCACCCAGGCTGGAGTGCAGTGTTGCGATCACAGTTCATTCTAACCTTGAATCCCTGGGCTCAAGTGATCCTCCCACGTAGCTAGGACTACAGTTGTGCACCACCACACCAGGCTAATTTAAAGAATTTTTTCTTCTTTTTTTGTAGAAACTGAGTCTTGTTGTGTTGCCCGAGCTGGTCTCAAACTCCTGGGCTCAAGCATTTCTCCTGCCCCAGTCTCCCAAAGTGCTAGAATTACAGATGTGAGCTACTTCACCCAGCCTGTATATGTTTAGATACACAAGTATTTGCCATTGTGTTACAGTTGCCTACAGTATTCAGTACAGTAACATACTATACATTTTTGTAGCTTAAGAGCAATAGGCTCTACCACATAGCCTCAGTGATAGTAGGCTATACTATCTTGTCTATCTATGTAAGTACACTGTGATGTTTGCACGATGATGACATTGCCTAAACACACATTTCTCATAACGTATCCTGTTGTTAAGCAGGACTATAACTTTGTTTGGACTTATTTCTGATTCGATTTTAATATTTGTCCGTAGTGCTGAAATACATGACTTTTTATTTGTTTTTTTAATCAACAAATACTTATTTTCTGTGAAGAAAGGCATTGGTAGCTTGATGGGGATGGCATTGAATCTGTAAATTACCTTGGGCAGTATGGCCATTTTCACGATATTTATTCTTCCTACCCATGAGCATGGAATGTTCTTCCATCTGTTTGTATCCTCTTTTATTTCCTTGAGCAGCGGTTTGTAGTTCTCCTTGAAGAGGTCCTTCACATCCCTTGTAAGTTGGATTCCTAGGTATTTTATTCTCTTTGAAGCAATTGTGAATGGGAGTTCACTCATGATTTGGCTCTCTGTTTGTCTGTTGCTGGTGTATAGGAATGCTTGTGATTTTTGCACATTGATTTTGTATCCTGAGACTTTGCTGAAGTTGCTTATCAGCTTAAGGAGATTTTGGGCTGAGACAATGGGGTTTTCTAGATATACAATCATGTCATCTGCAAACAGGGACAATTTGACTTCCTCTTTTCCTAATTGAATACCCTTTATTTCCTTCTCCTGCCTAATTGCCCTGGCCAGAACTTCCAACACTATGTTGAATAGGAGTGGTGAGAGAGGGCATCCCTGTCTTGTGCCAGTTTTCAAAGGGAATGCTTCCAGTTTTTGCCCATTCAGTATGATATTGGCTGTGGGTTTGTCATAGATAGCTCTTATTATTTTGAAATATGTCCCATCAATACCTAATTTATTGAGAGATTTTAGCATGAAGGGTTGTTGAATTTTGTCAAAGGCCTTTTCTGCATCTATTGAGATAATCATGTGGTTTTTGTCTTTGGCTCTGTTTATATGCTGGATTACATTTATTGATTTGCATATATTGAACCAGCCTTGCATCCCAGGGATGAAGCCCACTTGATCATGGTGGATAAGCTTTTTGATGTGCTGCTGGATTCGGTTTGCCAGTATTTTATTGAGGATTTTTGAAAAAACTACTTTAAAGTTCATATGGAACCAAAAAAGAGCCCGCATCGCCAAGTGAATCCTAAGCCAAAAGAACAAAGCTGGAGGCATCACACTACCTGACTTCAAACTATACTACAAGGCTACAGTAACCAAAACAGCATGGTACTGGTACCAAAACAGAGATATAGATCAATGGAACAGAACAGAGCCCTCAGAAATAACGCCGCGTATCTACAACTATCTGATCTTTGACAAACCTGAGAAAAACAAGCAATGGGGAAAGGATTCCCTATTTAATAAATGGTGCTGGGAAAACTGGCTAGCCATATGTAGAAAGCTGAAACTGGATCCCTTCCTTACACCTTATACAAAAATCAATTCAAGATGGATTAAAGACTTAAACGTTAGACCTAAAACCATAAAAACCCTAGAAGAAAACCTAGGCATTACCATTCAGGACATAGGCATGGGCAAGGACTTCATGTCTAAAACACCAAAAGCAATGGCAACAAAAGCCAAAATTGACAAATGGGATCTAATTAAACTAAAGAGCTTCTGCACAGCAAAAGAAACTACCATCAGAGTGAACAGGCAACCTACAAAATGGGAGAAAATTTTCGCAACCTACTCATCTGACAAAGGGCTAATATCCAGAATCTACAATGAACTCAAACAAATTTACAAGAAAAAAACAAACAACCCCATCAAAAAGTGGGCGAAGGACATGAACAGACACTTCTCAAAAGAGGACATTTATGCAGCCAAAAAACACATGAAAAAATGCTCACCATCACTGGCCATCAGAGAAATGCAAATCAAAACCACAATGAGATACCATCTCACACCAGTTAGAATGGTGATCATTAAAAAGTCAGGAAACAGGTGCTGGAGAGGATGTGGAGAAATAGGAACACTTTTACACTGTTGGTGGGACTGTAAACTAGTTCAACCATTGTGGAAGTCAGTGTGGCGATTCCTCAGGGATCTAGAACTAGAAATACCATTTGACCCAGCCATTCCATTACTGGGTATATACCCAAAGGACTATAAATCATGCTGCTATAGAGACACATGCACACGTATGTTTATTGTGGCATTATTCACAATAGCAAAGACTTGGAACCAACCCAAATGTCCAACAATGATAGACTGGATTAAGAAAATGTGGCACATATACACCATGGAATACTATGCAGCCATAAAAAATGATGAGTTCATGTCCTTTGTAGGGACATGGATGAAACTGGAAATCATCATTCTCAGTAAACTATCGCAAGAACAAAAAACCAAACACCGCATATTCTCACTCATAGGTGGGAATTGAACAATGAGATCACATGGACACAGGAAGGGGAACATCACACTCTGGGGACTGTTGTGGGATGGGGGTAGTGGGGAGGGATAGCATTGGGAGATATACCTAATGCTAGATGACGAGTTAATGGGTACAGCACACCAGCATGGCACATGTATACGTATGTAACTAACCTGCACAATGTGCACACGTACCCTAAAACTTAAAGTATAATTAAAAAAAAAAATTAAAAAAACAAAAAAAACCAAATACTTATTTTCTCATGATTTCTCTGGGTTATGAATCTGGGAGTGGCTTTGCTGGATGCTTCTAGCTCAGGATCTTTCATGATGCTAAAATCATCTGAGGTTCACTGTTTACATGCCTCAGTTCCTTCTGACTATTGGCTGGAGACCTCAGTTCCCCTCCATGTGGTCCTCACCATAGGCTGCCTAACTGTACTCACAAAATGGCAGCTGGTTTCCCCCAGAGCAAGTGGTCCTTGAGAGAGAAAGCCCAAGACAGGAGCTGTACTCTTTTATAACCTGGTATTGGAAATGACATGCCACCATTTCTTCCATATTCTGTTGTGCACATAGACTAACCCTGGTACATTGTGAGAAGAGAATATACTCAAGTACAAAAGCAAGAGGCAAGGATCATGGGAAGCATTTCAGAAGCTGACTACCACAGTCCATCAGTAGACCTCCATGATCGACATCCCTTCTATATGCAAAGTGCACATACCCTCTCCTAAAACCCCGAAAAGTCTCATTCCAGTACAGTTGGAAGTCTAGAATGTTATTATCTAAATCAGGTTCAGGTATGGGTAAGGCTTCTTAGGTGTTGTTCCTTAAGTACAGCTCATCAAGGACTATGTCTTTCATCTGTAGGGCATGTAATTACCATGTTTAGTGCCCTGCATTATTTTGTGGGTATCCATGTTTCCATTTGGTGTCATTTTTCCTCCTGCTTGAAAGATTTCCTAGGACATTTCTCTTTTATTTAGGGATGAAGTCTCACTATGTTGCCCAGGCTGGTCTAGAACTCCTGAGCTCAAGTGATCCTCCTGCCTTGGCATCCCAAAGTGCTAGGATTACAGGTGTGAGCCACTGCACCCTGCCTCCTCTCCAGTTTAAAATCCCCCTTTCTTGCTGTCCTAGGACATTTCTTGTAGTGAAAATCTGCAACTTTCCTTGGCTTTTGTAGCTCTGAATAAGTCCTTATTTCGCTATTGGTATTGAAAGATACTTCATTGGGTATAAAATTCTAGGATGACAGGTTTTTTCTCTTTTAGTACATGAAGATGTTGCTCCACTGTCTTCTCCCTTTTATTGCTTCTGACTGAATTTATTGCTATGTAGATAACTTTTTTTCTGTACTGCTTGAAGATTATCTTTTTATCACTAGGTTTTAGAAATTTGATTATGATGTACCTTCACATAGTTTTCTTCATGTCTTTGTGCTTGGGGTTTATTGAATCTGTGGTTTACAGTTTTCATTAAATTTGGAAAATTTTGGCCATTATTCCTCTAAACGTTCTTCATTTTTTTCATAATGGGTGTATATTTTTATGGGGTACATGAGATACTTTGATACAGGCATGCAGTGTGTAATAATCACATGGTAAATGGGGTGTAATAATTACATGGTAAATGGGGTATTCATCCCCTCAAGCATTTGTTCTTTGTGTTATGATACAGTTATACTCTTAGTTATTTTTAATGTACAATTAAATGAGCATTGACTATAGTTACCCTCTTGTGCTATCAAATACTAGATCTTGTTCATTCTTTCTACACTTTTTGTACCCATTAACCATTGCTACCTCCCCCCACCACCCCTACTACCCTTCCCGGTCGCTGATAACCATGCTTCCTTCCACTTTCTATTTCCGTGAGTTCATTTGTTTTAATTTTTAGCTCCCACAAATAAGTGAGAACATCTGTACCAGGCTTATTTCACTTAACATAATGACCTCCAGTTCCATCCATGGTATAGCAAATGACAAAATCTCATTCTTTTTTATGGCTGAATAGTACTCTATTGTGTATATGTACCACATTTTCTTTATCCGTTCATTCATCTGTTGATGGACGCTTAGGTTGCCTCCAAATCTTGGCTAATATGAACAGTGCTGCAACAAACATGAGTACAGATATCCCTTCAATAAAATTGATTTCCTTTCTTTTGAGTATATATCCAGCATTGGGATTGCTGGATAATATGGTAACTCTATTTTTAGTTTTCTCAGGAACTTCCAAACTGTTCTCCGTAGTGGTTGTACTAATTTATATTCCCAGCAACAGTGGAGGAATTCAGCAGTGAAGCCATCTGGTCCTGGGCTTTTCTTTACTGGGTGACTTTTTATTATGGCTTTGATCTTTTTACTTGTTATTGGTCTGTTCAGCTTTTGGATTTCTTCATTTTTCAATCTTGTTAGGTTGTATGTGTCTAGGAATTAATCCATTTTCTCTAGATTTTCCAATTTATTCACATATAGTTACTCATAGTAGCCACTAATGATACTCTGAATTTTTGCGCTATTAATCGTAATATCTCCTTTTTCATCTCTGATTTTATTTATTTGGGTATTTCTTTCTTTTTCTAGCTAAAGGTATGTCAATTTTATTTATCTTTTCAAAATGCCAACTTTTTGGTTCCTTGATCTTTTGTATTGTTTGTTCATTTTAATTTCGTTTATTTCTGCTCTTACCTTTCTTACTAGTTCCTTGAGGTACATCATGAGGTTGTTTGAACTCTTTCTACTTTTTTGATGGAGGCATTTATTGCTACTATACTATACTATACTATACTATACTATACTATACTATACTATACACTTCCCTTTAGCATTGCTTTTGCTATATTCCATAGGTTTTAGTATGTTGTATTTTCATTTGTATTGGAAATTTTTAAATTTTATTTTCAGTTTCTTCATTGACCCAGTGTTCATTCAGGAGCACATTGTTTAATGTCCATTTAATTGTACAGTTTCCAAAGTTCCTCTTGTTATTTATTTTTAGTTTTATTTCATCATGGTCTGAGAAGATAACTTTATATGATTTCAATTTTTAAAAATTTGTTGAGACTTGTTTCGTTGCATAACATATAGTCTGTCTTGGAGAATGTCCCATGTGTTAATGAGGACAGTGTGTATTTTGCAGCTATTGGATGACATAAATGTCTGCTAGGTCCATTTGTTCTGTAGTGCAGACTAAGTCTGATATTTCTTTGTTGATTTTCTGTCTAGGTGATCTGTACAATGTTGAAATCGAGGTGTTGATGTTCCCAACTATTACTCTATTGGGGTCTATCTCATTAGCTTTAATAATATTTGCCTTATGTATCTGGGTGCTCTGGTGTAGGGTGCATGTATGTTTATAATTGTTATACCCTTTTCTGAATTGATCCCTTTATTATTATATAACGACCTTCTTTGTCTCTTTTCATGTCTTTTGACTTGCAGTTTATTTTGTCTGATACAAGTATAGCTCCGCCAGCATGCTTTTGGTTTCTGTATGCCTGGAATATATTTTTAAATTTCTTCCCTTTCAATCTATGTGTGTGTTTACAGGTGAAGTTAGTTTCCTGTAGGCAGCATATAATTGGCTGTTTTTAAAAAAAAAAAAATTTAAGCAGAGTGTATTTTTATTTATTTATTTTTGTTGACATCAGGATACACATCTGGACAGTCTATATCTTTTAACTGGGGAATTTAAGCCATTTACATTCAGGGTTTTTTGCTAGGTGGAGGCATACTCCCATCATTTTGTTCATTGTTTTCTGAATGTTTTACATATCCTTTGTTCCTTTCTTCCTCTTTTATTGTTTACTCTTCAATTTGATTGGTTTTTTGTAGTAATAACATTTGACTTAAAAAAATCATTTGTTTATCTTCTTTATCAATGTTTTTATCCTTTCCTGTGTTTTCATGATGGTGATATCATCCTTCTGCTTCTAATTATAGGACTCAATAATTTCTTGTAGAGCCAGCCTAGTGGTAATAAATTCCTTAGTCTTTGCTTTTTGGTAAAGATGTTATTTCTCCTTCATTTTTGAAGGATAAAGCTTTTCTTGGTATAGTATTTTTAGCTGAAGAGTTTTTTTCTTTCAGCACTTCGAATGTGTCACCTCAGTGTCTTCTGGCTTGTGAGGTTTCTACTGAGAAATTAGATGTTAGTCTAATGGGGGTTTCCTTGTATGTAACTTAACCCTTTTTCTCTTGCTGTTTTCAGAATTCTCTTTTTGTCTTTGACTTTTGACAGTTTGACTATAATGTGCCTTGGAAAAGACCTCACTGGGTGAATTGTATTTGGAAACTTTGTGCTTCCTGTGTCTAGATGTCTGTATTTCCTCTAAGACTTGGGAAATTTTCAGCTATTATTTCCTTAAATAGGCTTTCTATGCCTTTGCCATTTCTTCTAGAAACTCCAAAATTTAAATATTTGGTCATTTTTGCACTGTCACATATATCATGTAAGCTTTTCCCTCCCTCCTTCCCTCTCTCCCTCCCTCCCTCCCTCCCTTCCTTCCTTCCTGGGGTTGGTTGGTTGGTTTGTTTTTTTAAGATCCATCTTAAAGTTGAGAAATTCTTTCTTCTGCTAGATCTAATCTATTGTTGAAGTTCTTGCTTATATTTTTTATTTTATTTGTTGAATTCTTCGGTTCCAGAATTTCTGTTTGGTTCCCTTTTATGAAATATCTCTTTGTTGAGTTTCTCATTTAGGTCATGAATTGTTTTCCTCATTTCTTTGTATTATTCATATGTGTTCTCTTGTATCTCACTGAGTTTCCTTCATATCATTATTTTGAATTCTTTTTCAGACAATTCATAGATTTCCTTTTCTTTGGTATCTGTTACTGGAAAATTATTATGTTCCTTTGGAGGTGTTACATTTTCTTGCTTTTTCATGTTTCTTGTGTCCTTACATTGATATCTGCACATCTGATATAACAGTTTTTCCAATTGTATGGATTGTCATTTGGAAAGAAAGACTGTTTCCTTTAGATATATCTATAGTGTTGATTGGACAGGATGCTTTGGCTTTGGTTCTGGTTGTGCACGGTAGTGTACTCTCCGTATGATTTCTTTGACTGTAATTAGTGATAGTGATGTCTGTGAATTCCTTAGTGACTTAGGCTGCATTTGTTAATAGAGGCTGTGGTGAGGCATTGCTAGGGGTACGGATGCTAGGTAGGCTAGTCCTCAGGTGCCAGTAGTGGCTGCAGTGGGTTGGGTGTGCTAGTCCTTGGTCTATGGGTTGGCATACGTGGGCGCTTGTGATGTTGGGTCTGGGCAGGCTGGTCCTTTGGTCTACAGTCGGCATACTTGGCTATTGGTGGTAGCAGGGAAGAAAAGTTTCAAGATGCATAGATCTTTCTAACAAATGATTGTTCTCCAGTATGAATCAGGATATGGCAGCTCAGATGGCAATCCCTGTTGAAAGTCTTGCCACAACCTTCATAGTCACAAATGGTCTCTGTCCTGTGCACTTGGACAAGTATGCATCAAGCTTTTAGGCCTTGTTGTAATTGGTGATGCAATCCAGGAAGGAACAGATGACCCTCCTGCGAAGCATGAGGGGTAGCAGTGGAGATACTGGGCTCTGCTGGCTGTGATGAACAGGTCAGTGATGGTTATAGATGACACCACCACAGTGACCAAAGCCAGCGGCTGCAGGGCACCGGGGCCTCCATGCTGTGGGACAGGCACATAACCGTGTGCTAAGCCATGTACTGTGAAACAGTGCACTCAGCCAACTGTTCCGGGTGGACCCCACCTTACCCCATTATCTCTGCTGCTGAAAACAATTTAATACATTGCTCTGAACATCTCATAGAACATTCATGTAATAGGCAATACACCTTAGGCCACTCTCTCATTATACAATAGTGTAAGACACCAGAGAAAGTAGTTAACCCGTTTCAAAATATCTGTGATGTATGAATAGTCACTAACTTTCAAGGCTGATTAGAACAAACTACATAATTTAGAAATGTTAACTGTAGAAAAATGTTTAGTTCTTATATTCTAAAATGGACGTTGTCCATTATCAGATGGAAAATTGAACTGACAAATTAGAATTTCTACAATGAGTCTCAAAATCACTCCTAATTTTATCACTTCTATTATTTTTTTTAGCCTGCCCTCAAGTATGTGTTGTATACATTGGTTGGCTTTGTGGGTTTTGTAACCCATTATGTGCTGCCTCAAGTTAGAAAACAGCTACCATGGCACTGTTTCTCTCATCCTCTGCTAAAGACACTAGAGTATAATCAGTATGAAGTTCGAAGTAAGTATTTCATTAGCACTTTTTCTTTTTAATACTATGAGTTTTTCCCTTTGCTATATTGATAGATGACTGAGTTAAGTGAATATCATAACAGAACATTTGGCTTGTGTTTCTTTTGCTTAAGTTTGAAGCCGTTAATGAATCTAGTCTCTTGCAGGATGCTTTAATTTAGCTGAAATATGAGTATCAGTGCTACAGTGCCAGTTTTCCACAGAAGAAACTTACTTCTCCCCTCTCTAAATTGTTCTTCACAGACTTCTCATTGATGAATCCTCCTTTGTGTGTCCATTACTTCTCTTTCCTGACCCTACTCTTCCCCCTAATTAGTTTTCAATGCCATATACAGGCAATCCAATCCTCTTTAAGGCCTCTCTATTTGAAATAGTTTTAACTTAATGCGTAGGGAGGAAGAAAGGTCTTTGTTCCTGTTTCTGCCAGAGACACTGTGTCCTACCAGAGAAAAGTGTAAAAGAGTTGACAAAGTAAAAAGAAATTAAAAACATTTTTAATAGCTGTTATTAGTTCAGATTTGCAATAAAGTATAAAAGGATGGAAAAGAGGCTAGTTCACTTGCCAAGCTTTTTCCTTACCACTGTAAACCCTGACATTTCTTTCCTGTTATAAGTATTCAGTTCTTGTTCATTGGCCCCATTATCTGTAATATATTGTACTTCCTCATTTTAGAGAAATAATAAATGTTCATACCTGTGTCATAATTTATTATATACCAATGATTAAATAAGCCAACTTTTTTCTCACACTTTTTTTTTCAGTTAGCTAATTACTGTAGAGTAAATCATTCAGTTGCTTGAAGATAACTTTTTTAGAGAACTCTGAAGCCTTTGAAAGCTTCCTAATAAATAAAAATGACATGAAGCTGCATAAGAATCTTTATTGGCCCATTTATACCATCAGGAAAATAACTCAGAATGAGATATGTTTTTAATGGTGAACTATTACTGCTTTCATATATAAATGATGACACATACCTAGTTTGTTTTAAAGACCAACACTTTTCATTAAAATAAATTATTGATCTTATTTTTTAAATCTTAGAACATGTAGTCTACAAATTTTGAATCAGCATATCATTTTGACATTTATAGTACTAACAGCAAAGTTGTTTTTTTTTCTGGTACTGATTTTAGCAACTGAAAGAAAAAATATTATTTCTTAGAGAACTTCCTAAAGCCAGGTGATGCTATTTTCAGATAGCCAAAGAACCATGTTTTAAATCTTTTAGTTTATCCTAGACACTTTCCCCAATGAAATAATATTGTAGCATTGGAAAAAAATATTATTGGCAATGAAAGCTGCTCTTAAGTATGTGAATTCAAATCATACCATATTTTTATTTATTTTGGGTGGAAAGAGCAATCTAATGATCTTCAGTAATCTTTTTTCAATAAGTTATAAGCATAAATGAGAAAAGTTATGGTTAAAAACTGAGGTTTCAAGAATTAAAGTTGGAAACTCATCTAAATGTTAAATCATGTCTAAGTTGCAAATTTGTAAGTATCTCAGAGCTCATAGAAGTTGACAGTTGATTAAAGTACTGGCTTTTTAAAAACAGTTTATTTGTAGTTTGGTACTAAATTTGTTGTAAAATTTTTCTTTCTCATCACATTGACAAACTATACATTTGATGACATGTAGTCTTGATTTATACTGCCTTGTTAGATGCAGCCACTATGATGTGGTTTGAGAAACTTCATGTGTGGCTTCTTTTTGTGGAGAAGAATATAATCTATCCATTGATTGTTCTCAATGAACTGAGCAGCAGTGCAGAGACAATTGCTAGTCCAAAGAAACTGAATACAGAGTAAGTATAGTAGTCTTCTAATATTGTCTGACTACTGGGGGCTGTTATAAACAATGTCTTAAGTTGTTGATCAAATATTAAATAATTGTTTCCTTCATGCAAGGCACTGTGAGATTAAAAATTTAGGTGACATTTTGTCCTTGACTTACCTTTTTTAAACATTTGTTTCTGCTGTTGGCATATTCTGTACTCCAGACATCTCATTGTCAATTGATATTTTATGAGAGGACATTTTAAAATAAGGTTAATTTTTAATATTATGTGGCTATTTTGATGCACTATGTAACTTACACCATATAGATGGTCAGTTGCCTCCATAGTCATCCGATGAGCCTGCCCAATAGAGTAGGTACCTATTGTTGAGTCAAGCATTAATATGTTTTTCATTTGCTAAATGCAGTTGGTGTTAAAGTAATAGAAATATTGAGAAACTAGAGAATCAGATGTCAGAATTACAATACTATTATTTTTAAAACATAGTCCTTCATATAAAGGATAAGAATCATAATGAATAGTATTAAAAGGGAATAGTCAGATACTTTCAGGATGTGATTTACCTAGCTCTATACATCATTTTTGGAAGCTTACATTTAATGTATATATTATAAGCTTAGTAAAGTAAATGGTGAATTTTATTTTAAGTTACTGTCTCTTCTAATGTTTTCAGTCATGAGTTGATTTGTGTTTTCTTTGTGCCACAGATTAGGTGCTTTAATGATCACTGTTGCTGGTTTGAAGTTGCTACGATCCTCTTTTAGCAGCCCTACATATCAGTATGTTACAGTCATCTTTACTGTGCTGTTTTTCAAATTTGACTATGAAGCTTTTTCAGAGACCATGCTGTTGGATCTCTTCTTTATGTCCATACTCTTCAACAAGGTAATTTATCACTGAAAGGAATATCCTTATCTATAAAAACTATCTCCCTGGGTTATATGCTAGTCAGAATTTTTCTTATATTTCATGTGATTTATTATTGTTTAAGTAATAACTCTCTTCAACCAGTTATTTAGGAGCACATTAGAATCCCTAAACAAAGATAGTCACTGTGATTTATAAAAGATATATTTCTTGCTATAGCTAAGAAGATAAAGTTACATAAAACAATTAGAGAAACATTAATAAGTATATTTTAAAATATATAGAATCTCTCAAAAGGTATATAGTTTTGAATAATTTTAGAAACAGAAGTGGTAATAATTGAATTGGGCTCTGGCATAGCCCAATGAAGCAGGTAGAGGCTGAGGAGACTGAGGCTAGGTGGGAGCAGTCAGAAATTAGCTTGATGTGATATTTGCAGAATACTCTGAACTTTATAGGCTTCTGCTAAAATTCATTATCCACCCATAAGATAGATGTTCTAGGCCTTTTACAAATAAGATGGTAAAACCTTGGTCCTCTGCCTCCTAACCCAAGAATCTTTTTGCTGAATCACACTACCTTTCTCAGTGAAATAGGCTGTACAGTCAGATTATTTGTCAGTGAAATAGTAATTCAATTTCATGTTAACACTGACCACATACAAAGGACTTTGACATACATTATCCCATTTGATAGGTAACAGAGAGCTGAAGCAAATGAACAGCTACAAAACACAATGAAATTCCAGTTTTAGGGAAGTTAGCCTGGTCAGCCACATTTGGCTTCATTTGGGGAAGAGAGAACCTAAAGGTACAGAGAACAGCTTAAGCGATAATGACAGTAATTCAGATGTGATAGTAGTCTGATCTAGGATGGGGAACAGTAAAAATGGAAAGCCGTTAATTTGAGCAAAGTTTCATTGATAGTCAATTTCAGTATTGTGATAAATAGCTTCTAAAATATTTCAATATTATATCTGTTCAGTCACTAATTTGTATTTTTATCATTTATTTCCTCTTCTAGTGAGTATGGTTATTAACCAAAGGAGGAAGCCAGAAAATTAATCAGAGAATTGTATAAAGAAGCATGTGGTTTCCCACAAACTCAAATATTTAGATTGAAAATTGTATTTCATCTTATACTGGTTGGAAAAAAGTGAAAGTTGCAGTAAAATATAAAGTAAATAATCTTTGAAATGTAGTTGCTACACTTAACTCTGCATTAGTTTGGATTTTCTTAATACTTTTTATTTGTTAAATATATTTTTTAAAACAAAAAACTGTTTTAGAACTGTTCTAGATGCTTAGGCTACACCAATGAACAAAATAGAGAAAGCTTTCCCCTTGAGTTTGTATTTAAATTGGTCAGTAGATAGAATTTAACAATGATAATCAGTAATATTCAAGGGATTTCTTCAGATACATTTTTTACATTAAGATATCATTGTAAGGTACATCATGGATTTAATAACCTTTTAAGAAAAATTAAATGTATACAGAAATCCCTTTGCCTACCATCCTTTACATATTGTTACATATTGTTCTTTTCTTTAATATTATAGTCAAAATTGGAATACAGTTTGTTTCACAGACTCTGAAGAGCTTTCTGAGTCATTGCTTTTAAGTCATTATAATGGCATCGTGATGATATACATGCTGCTTTTACTTACCATGATCCTGATTATATTAGTGCCGAGGATTGCATAATTTTCAGTCATGGCAAAAATAATTTTGAGTCATGGCAAAAATACTGCAGTTCATCTACATTTTTTAATTGGTTGGAGTTGTGATTTCTTTTTTAAATTGGAAGTTAAGTTCGTTTGTAAATCAGTTAAAGTATTTTAAAGGATGAGGTGATTGTTGCTTAATCATGCAGAGGCAATCTTGGACAAGTACAGCAACTCTGTTTCAGCATTGAAGAACTGTTCAACTGTGGCATATTCAACCTTAAATGAAATTAAAATGTGTATCCTGTTTCCACTGACAACAATTAAGGTTATGAACAGATGCCTGGTATACACAACTAAATTTCTATGGAAACAGGCAGTGACAACTGTATTACAAATGCTGTTTTTCACATTCCTTTTGACATTACATTTAAAACATAGTTTCCAAAGCACTAAAGTTTGGGGAAAATGTGTCTTAGAATAAAATAAATATATGTATTACTTAAGCTTTGCAGACATCTTGATTTTTTTTCTTTTTTTTTATTTATTATTATTATACTTTAAGTTTTAGGGTACATGTGCACAATGTGCAGGTTAGTTACATATGTATACATGTGCCATGCTGGTGCGCTGCACCCACTAACTCATCATCTAGCATTAGGTATATCTCCCAATGTTTTTTTCAAGAACAGTTATTTGGCTGCTTTCTACCTTACTTTGTTTTGCTTGTAGTAGCATAATATGGCCAGTAGAAGGCATAGAATTTTTTTTAAACAGATGAAACATAAATCCATATATAGCTACCTATCTTTACTTATAAAGTATCTTTACTCAGAAATAAGTGCAGTGTTTAGGCAGTTGATATATCTTTTCCTGTTATGTAAATGGCAAATAATTTCAATGCCATTTCCCTATTAGGAGAACTTCTCCTAATACATTTTACAGGGTTTTTATTTTCTAATTCAAATATCTGATAAGTTTTTTTTTTTTTACTGACAGCCATTCTTTTCCTCCTGCAGCTTTGGGAACTACTTTATAAATTGCAGTTTGTGTATACCTATATTGCCCCATGGCAGATCACATGGGGTTCTGCTTTCCATGCTTTTGCTCAGCCTTTTGCAGTGCCTCGTATCCTTCTAATTAAAGTTTTATAAGAATGGACAGTCATATCCTAGATAAGAATGTTGGTTTATAGGCATGACCTTTCATGGTGTAAGTTTACTGTGTAATGAATTATCAAAAATTCATAATCTTGGCCGGGTGCAGTGGCTCACGCCTGTAATCCCAGCACTCTGGGAGGCCGAGGCGGGCGGATCACCTGAGATTGGGAGTTTGAGACCAGCCTGACCAACATGGATAAACCCCATCTCCACTGAAAATACTAAATGAGCCGGGTGTGGTGGCACATGCCTGTAATCCCAGCTACCCGGGAGGCTGAGGCAGGAGAATCTCTTGAATCCAGGAGGTAGAGGTTGCAGTGAGCCGAGATTGCGCCATTGCACTCCAGCCTGGGCAACGAGAGCAAAACTCTGTCTCAAAAAAAAAAAAAAAAAAAAAAAAAAAAAATCATAACCTTTTATATCCACACCTATATTGTTGATTGTTTAACTTGTATTAACATCTGTGGCCCACAGATCATCTGAACATAAGAAAACTATACAGGTTTTGTAAGAAAGTAATGCTGATTTAAAATCTTACATTTGCATATGTGAATATTAAAGTCCAGGAATCTTTAATACATACAAGAAATGTTTAGCATTATTTTTTAATAAATGAAGGTACAAAACATTTTTTCATAATATGATTATGAAATTGATAGAATTAAACTTCTGTAAAAAATTTTCTACTCCCACGATTTCTTAGAAGTATTTTCTAAATAATAGTAAGGGTTAGTAACCACATTGATATGGAAAGACAGACTTATGGTATCTGCAAGTTTTAGTTTTACCCTTGTGGAAAATTGAACTCTAACATCTCTTCCCAAGATTAATATATGAATTTTACCAAATACATATTAGCAAATACTGATTTGGCTCCTTTGAAAGCAGCATACCAGGTTGTACTTTATGTATGTCTTTCTGTTGGTGACCCCTTAATGACTGCCCAGTGATATACCTTCTTTTGTATTCTTCTGGTGAACCTCAGTTCTCTAATTGAGGTAATCTAAATGTGTCTGCTAGGTTTTTGCGAGGGTTTGTTTGGCATCTGTGCTCAGATGAATGTCAGTGTCCTTAACTAGTTTTCCCATAGATTCAGCCATGCTGTTTATTCAGGCTGCTGTCTCGGCCTTCTTCTCTACTCCACTGAACCCCTTTCTGGGAAGTGCAATATTCATCACTTCATATGTCCGACCTGTGAAATTCTGGGAGAGAGACTATAAGTGAGTAAAGTAAAACACTTGAAAAACAATTTTTATCTTTCCTACTGGGAAAAACTATTGACAGCATTATTATTAGAATTTATGGTTCATAATTTATTGTGTTGAAATATTTATTTTTGCTAAAACTTAATAAATAGTCTTAAAATTTGAAAAGTATATAAAAGAAGAGGCCAGAGGAAATTACTTTTTATTTTTCTTTCTTTCCTTTTTTTTTTTTCATACAGGGTCTCATTCTGTTGCCCAGGCTGGAGTGCAGTGGTGCGTCTCTGCTCACTGCAACCTCCACCTCCTGGGGGGCTCAAGTGATCCTCCTGCCTCAGCCTCCTGAATAGCGAGGACTACAGGCTTGAGCCACCACGTCGGTTAATTTTGGTATTTTTTGTAGAGATGGAGTTTGACTGTGTTGCCTATACTGCTCTCAAACTCTTGAGCTCAAGTGACCCACCCGCCTCAGCCTCCCAAAGTGTTAGGATCACAGGCATGAGCCACTGTGCTCAGCCATTTTTTCCTACTTAAAAGATATTTTTAAACATTGTTCTGATTGAATATGTTCATGTTTATATTTTTTCTTTCAGTAATATTGAATTATTTCACATTAATAATACTCTGCAACTTTATGCTATATAATATCGTTATAACAGTCATAATGAGTTATAGTTTTCTTAGAAATACCTGGCTATTTCTAAAGCTAAATTTTTATAGGTTATTTCTGCTATTTTGAGAAGATAAGTTTGTAATGACCATCTTTGTGCATGAAGTATTTTCTCCATTTAGGCTTAGTTCCTTGGGCTAGCTACTTAATCTGAAGCTTAGTAACTATCCTTGTATGTAATCTCTCCAAATTTCATTTTGTTTCAGAAAGCGTTCCTAAAAGGGAACGCTTTTAGGAGTTATGAGTTATGGAGCATAAACATTTTTAAGGCTTTTAATATAAACACATTGGTTTAGAAAGAGCTTGTACTAATTTATAATTCTACTGACCATCTCCATGACTGCCTTTCTCTCTATACTTTCACAAATTGGCATATTTAATAGGTGAAAATTGTAATCTCACCTTTTAAACAGTGGGCTAGTTTGTAGGTTTGAAACTTTTACTCTGGTCCTTTATCTAAAACCACACATGATATTTCCCATTTTGGTGAATTTTGGTGTTATTAATTATTATTCCTCTGGACCAATTAGCCCAAAGTAATGTTCAGTGGCTGCAGTTCTTAACTTTTTGGATTTAGAACCCCTTTATACTCTTTTTTTTTCTTTTCTTTTCTTTTTCTTTTTTTGAGACAGAGTTTTGCCCTTGTCATCCAGGCTGGAGTGCAATGACACAATCTCGACTCACTGCAACCTCCGCCTCCCGGAGTGCAATGGCGCCATCTTGATTCACTGCAACCTCCGCCTCCCAGGTTCAAGCAATTCTCCTGCCTCAGCCTCCCGAGTAGCTGGGATTACAGGCGCCCACCAGCACACCTGGCTATTTTTTGTATTTTTAGTTGAGATGGGGTTTCACCATGTTGACCAGGCTGGTCTTGAACTTCTGAGCTCAGGTGATCCACCCGCTTCGGCCTCCCAAAGTGCTGGGATTACAGGCGTGAGCCACTGTGCCCGGCCTTATGGTCTTAAAAATTATTGGAAACACCAGAGTTTTAAAAATATGGATTTTATCTACTAATATTTACTAGAGTGGAAAGAAAAACTCAAAAATTTCAAATGTTTACTTATTAACTAATTTAAAAATAACAATGTCGTATCTATTGTATATTAGCATAAATAACATTTTAAAGTTAAGAATAACTATATTTCCACTCCCCCAAAAAATTAGTGAGAAGAGTGGCATTGTTATATAGTTTTGCAAATCTCTTAATGTCTGGGTTATTAAAAGACAGCTGGATTCTTGTATCTACCTGTACATTCAGTCAGGTGCAGTATATTGTTTTGATTGAAGTAGCTGAAAAAAAAAATTCACCTTCACTCACCATGTTGGCCAGGCTGGTCTCAAACTCCTGATCTGAAGTGATTTGCCTGCCTTGGCCTCTCAAAGTGCTGGGATTACAGGCATGAGCCACCTTGCCCAGGCAAAAAAGAAGTATTCTAATAGCCTTTTAAGACAATCATGGATATTTTTCTTTGATCTTTCACTGAAACCCAAGAAATGGGAGCTTCTTAAAAGCTACTTGCAATATGGAATCTAAAACCATATCTGTGAACTTGTGGGACTATATTACATCAAAATTCACTCATCTGTCTTATATCCTGAATGGATCTTTTACCCATGCATAATTTTTTAACATTTTGTGTTGGTCATTTGGAAAATACTGCTTCACTGAGTAATGTAGATTTTCTAAATGTTGATACATTTTATTATGTAGTGAATTTTAAAATATGTTCATTGGCATCACCACCAATCGGAAAGAAATTTTAATTATTGGGAAGTTGTCAAGCTTATGGTGGTAGATAGGAGTTTCCCAAATTTTAATTTTTGCTTGAAAATTTGGATTTTTATTATTGTCAACAAGTATTGCCAGTTGTTTTCCTTGAAATAACAGGCTCACTTTCTTTATTTTTGGGAAATATCTGTTAAATGACCACATCTAAATAATCTCATAATTTTTCCATCAGTGTTAAGTAAAAATGGTGTTCCAAGAAAAAAACGCAGCTAGTTCAGCTCGGAGTTCAAGCAGTTGCACAAATACTTGCCCTCATGACAGCCGTTGTACTTCAGAAGGCAGCAGAAGTGCTTCATACGTATTTTCTCATTTTGCCATACAGAGTATTAAAAAGGCCTTTACTGTGAGTTGAGATTTATTAAGGTTAATACTTTTTATTGCTTCATTAGGGACATTTTTTTGTGAAACTTGGACTTTTTGTTTGCTTTATTGTGCAAGTGTGGCAGCGAAGGGTAGAACAGTTTGGTGCTGCTGCCTTGATTAATGCCCAGGCACCACAGTCTTACCTACCATTGCTTTAGTACCACCAGTGCAGTTGTCAACACAGTGTAAAAAGCAAATAACAGCTCAGTGTTACTTTGAAAATAGTTTTGATCTGGAAAACTGCCTGAAAGAGCCTTAGGTTCTGTGGACCACATTTTGGGAACTACTGTTCCAAAGAACATTGCATCACTGAGCATTAATACATACACCTTCCTTTGGCAAAGAATGTTCTAACCTCTTTGAATTTTTAAGAACCATATACAGTATACATTTTTTTCATCCTGGTCAGCTTTTTTCTCACAGTGCATGCCTAGATGTCTTTCCATACACTGTACAATAAAAAAAAAACTGCTATGTTCATGTGTGGTGAAGGGGGAAGAATTTTTTTTTAATTTCCAAAAGTGTGCTAAGGCATTTTATCATTATACTAATCACAGATTTTTTCCAGAGATTTTCATAAAGTGATAACCTTTATTTTATACATTTCCTATAGTTTCTTCCTCAGTCTAAATTGTTAAATATTTTTTAATGTAAAGAAAGTTACTAAAAATGTTTTATTTTCTTTAGCACAAAACGAGTGGATCATTCAAATACCAGATTGGCTTCCCAGCTTGATAGAAATCCAGGTAATAGCTCTATTTGTGACTAAGGAGGCAAGACTAAGGATTTGTTTTATATATATATGTTTATATTCACTCCTAACTTGTTGGGAATCCTCTATGAATCCCAAATATTCACTTTTAAAAACTAAATATTATTTGTTTTACTTTAGCAAAATATATATAAATTACAGTATCTACAGTTTATATGCCCATCTTTTTATAAAATGCATCTTAAGAATGCTTATAAGAATGAAAAATTCCATTCAAAGATTGTTCTTACATAGGTTAAAATGTAGAAAAACAGTTAAAATAAAACTGGTCAGATGTTTGAAGGGTCTGCAGTCAGACTGACACATGTTTTATTAGTATGTTTCCTTCCACCCTTCCCTCAATGTTTTGGTCAATATTAATTTAATTTGATTCAGTTTATTGTTTACAGAGATGTCATCAAGTGGGAGCATATAGCCAGTCAGGATAGAGCTTCAGTGGGTGACACCTTGCTGGTGTTACCATTATCTAAAGTCTGGTTCTTAGTTTTGTCATTTGGGAAACATCATTTTATTGGCCCACCCAATAGTAATCTGTCACAGAGAATCAGAGATTAGCATATCATCCAGAACCTCAGTGTATTAATTTACTAAAATAAATATTACTCCCAAATACACTGGAATATTTGTATCCATTTGACTTACAAATTCCTTCAAATCTGATTAATTCTCAGTGATAAAATTGGACTAAGGAGAACTAGTTATTTGATACTAATGACCATCGTCATCATGTTCTGGTAGAGAAAATAAGCATTTCAGCTCTGGTATGTGCTTGTAAAGGGCTAGATTTCTCATGCTGATGATGCCATCCTGCATAACCAAAGGCCATGCCCTGAATCAGTATATACATTTTTGTGTGTTGTGCTGACATAGAATTGATACAGCCATTTTGTTGACATTAGAATTTGGAGTTTCCCTTTCATTATTTTATTCAATTAGACTGGGTTTAAAATAATTATTAAGCTCTGAATATTTTACCATTCTCCAATACTATGCTTGGGGCATGCATTTACAGATTATCGCTTTGCATGAGTTACTTCTAGAGATGGTCATGTAATTTATTAAGTGATGTTTATTTTAATGTTTTTCTTTCTTTTTCTTTTTTTTTTTGGAGACAGAGTCTCTCTCTGTCACCCAGGCTGGAGTGCAGTGGCACAGTCACAGCTCACTGCAACCTCCACCTCCCAAGTTCAAGCAATTCTGCCTTCTCAGCCTCCCATGTAGCTGGGATTACAGGCGTGCACCATGATGCCCAGCTAATTTTTGTATTTTTAGTAGTGACAGGGTTTTGCCATGTTGGCCCAGGTTAGTCTCCTGGCCTGAAGTGATCTGCCCACCTCAGCCTCCCAAAGTGCTGAGATTCCAGGCATGAGCCACCACACCCAGCCTATCTTAATGTCTTTTTTTAAGGTTCTCTGTTGCTATATACAGTTTATCTCTGCTTAACATTAGCCATCTCAATATGGCTAATATTGACTAACCAGCTTCTTTTTGATTGTCTTATTTGTTCAAATCTTGTATTATTTTATCTACTTCCTTTACTAAATAGTCTTTTGTTCTTCTTCTGAATTCTTTTATTTTCCTCATTTCTCTTCCATGGTTTTAATTATAAAGCATATTTTATTGAATAATTACGAACTGTTGAAGAGGTCAAAAAGTCCTTAGATTGCTTCAAATCAAATTCTCACATTTTGTGAATGAGAACCATAGATTCCGGGAGGTTATGTGACTTCTAAATCTAAATTCAGAAACCTTTTCCATTTTCCTGTTTTACTTTTGTATAGAAACTGTAAGGGTATGAATGTTATTTTCCTTGTCAAATAAATATAACCCCATACTAGAAGTTTTTAATATTTTTAACAATCTTGTTTGTCAAGAGGACTTAAGGTTAAATTTAACTTTTTTTAAAATCTCTTTTTATAGGATCAGATGACAACAATCTGAATTCCATCTTTTATGAGCATTTAACTAGATCCCTACAGCACAGCCTCTGTGGTGATTTGCTACTAGGACGGTGGGGAAACTACAGTACAGGGGACTGTTTCATCCTTGCCTCTGACTATCTCAATGCATTAGTACACCTTATAGAGATAGGCAATGGTCTGGTCACTTTTCAGCTGCGGGGACTTGAATTCAGAGGTAAGACATTCATTCACCTTTTATTTCTGTAGCATACTCCTGTGGCACCTTAGTTTTACATGTTTCTATCTCAAACCAGAAGTTGTCATAGAATTAGATATTTGGGATTGTGGAATGAGAAAAGTTGTTAAAGAGTAAGTATTAGATTTTTTCACCCCACATTCCATATTCCAAGAAGAATCATGTTTGCAATATGGCTTTATATGTAAAGGTAGTAGCATTAGTGTGTAATTGATTTGTTTTCCTAGATATGTTGAATTTCTGTTGTTCTGTGCTTGGTCTCTTGCTGGTCCCTTTTGTGACCAGTTGCATAAATTTGTTAGGTGGCTAGCAGCATGGAATGCTGAATTTTTGTGTGAGGCAGAATAGTTAACTGAGTTATGTTCATATAAACACCATGCCTTTGTCTTCCAACAATTTTTTTTAATTGAGGTGAAATTCACATAAAATAAAATTGATATTTAGAGCAAAGAAATCACAGGAGCGTTTAGTACATTCACAGTGTTGGGCAGCCACCACCTCTGTCTCATTCCAAAGCATTTTCATCACTCCAAAATAAAACGGTGTACCCATTAAGTAGTTACTGGCCATTCTCCTTTCCATCAGCCCTCTACAATTTTATATACTGATAAAGTTATTTCTTTACAGAAAATCACGCATTCAGAAACATCAACTTTATGTTATCAATTCCTGTAAAACTGAATAACATGTAAGCACAAGTAGAAACTGGTTTCACAGGATGCTTGAAGTCCTGTTACTGAATATCTTTCCAGTCTAGGAAACATTTTGACTTGAGTTTTCAGAGAGTTTTTCATCTATTCTAAGTGCTTTGGAGTAGTTTTAGTCTGGAATAGAAATAAGAAAGCATTTGACTAGAAAGAGAAGGAAGTCAGATCTATAACCCCATAGCTTTATTTTCATCCTGGTGTTGCATAAGAAGGCTTGCACCTTAGCTATGTAGTGTCTATGTTAGTGGAGCAAGTACTAGTCTAGAAGTTACACTGTTTGCTAGAAATAAATCTTTAGCTATGCAGCACTCAAATTAATGCGGAGTAAATGTTGATGTTTACTTGTGATCTGTTTATAATCCATTCATATTCTCTTTTCCTTCAAAATATCTTATTCTTGCCTTATGAATATTTGTTTCTGCCTCTCCATCAGGAGCCTAGGACCTTAACTCCATCTCTTCCAGAGTCTTAACCCCAGGCTGTTCAATCCTAATCCAACTAGGCTCATCCAAAAGTTAGCATACCCTTACCACCATTCCTGCTACTGCTGTGACTTTTAGCTTCCTTTTTAAGTTTTGGCACCTGAAGACTTCATCCTTGTTTTTTAATTTTAATTTTTTAAAATAAATGTGCATGGGAGGCTGTTTTATCTAACATTTCTACATATGTGAAATGAAAGGGGGGGTGGTTCTTCTTACCATCTGCTCACTCCATCATATTGATCAGTAGTTCTCCAAATCAGAAAAGTTATCCAGATTTTTATTCTCTGGTATTGAGTAGATTCAGATAAACTTTTGGATAAATCTTTTGCTATCTAAATGCTAATTATTTGCCAATCAAAACTCAAATTTGAAAATACAGCAACCCTTACTCTTTGAACTCCTATAGATTTGGGTAACAAGGGATACCTGTAATTCTTAACTCAGACATTAGCATTTTTTTTTTTAAGAGACAGGGGTCTCGCTCTGTCACCCAGGCTGGAGTGCAGTGGCGTGATCACAGCTCACTACATCCTCAAACTCCTGGGCTCAAGGGATCCTCTTGCCTCAGCCTCCTGAGTAGTTGGGACTACAGGTGCACACCACCACTCCTGGCTAATTTTTTTTTAATTTTTACTTTTGTATAGATAGGAGTCTCACCACCTTGCCAAGGCTGGTCTTGAACTCCTGAGCTCAAGCGACCCTCCAGCCTTGACCTCCCAAAGTGCTGAGATTGTAGGTGCGAGCCACCACACCCAGCCGGGATTTTTTTAAAGACACATTTGATCATGGCATTCGCACGCTTACAATTTTTCAGTGACTTCTCATTGCATTTAACATAGAATTCAAATGCCTGAACACATCCTATGGTACTCTGTGATCTGGCCTCTGCCAGTTTCTCCATCCTCACTTTACAGCACTATCTGCACTCACTGTAGCCACACTGGCCTTCTTGCAGTTTCTTAGATGTGCTAAATTCTTTACTAAGGACTCCTTATTGCCCTTCATTTTGCCAGAAAGTGCCAGCCATCTCTCTTTCTCCCCTAATCCTCCATCTGGCTGATTCCTTTGCCTGAATGTCCCTTTCTCAGAGAAGCCTTCTCTAGCCACCTATCCCACGTGATTATCTCACTTTACCATGTTTTTATCGTTAGATTCTTACACAGTCATGGACTGCAGCAATGGACTGCACATATCACAATGGTCCCTTAAGATTATAATGGAACTGAAAAATTCCTGTTAGTGACATCGTAGCCATTCTGTCCTATCACAAAGCATTACTTGTGTTTATGGTGATGCTGGTATAAACAAAACTATGCTACTGGTCATGTAAAAATCTAGCACATACAATTATGTACAGTACATAGTACTAGATAATGATAATAAACAACTATGTGTTTATTATATTATGCTATACTTTTTATGGTTAGAATGTACTCCTTGTACTTAGAAAAAAAAGTTTACTTTAGAACAGTATGTCTTGTTATGCTAGTGGCAGACTCATACATCTCACATTTACTGTATCTCTTGATTGCATCATTTTCTCTGTGTTTGATTTGATCTTGTGTCATTCGATTTTATGGCCCCTACATGTGCAAAATTCACAGCTATTGTTGCCAGGAAGAGGCCACATCGAGTAGATTGACCAGGAAGCTAAATTAAAAGTGATTAAGGACTATGAAGGTGGCAAATCAGCAATGGTTGTTGTCAGGTAATTATGTCCCATTCCACCATAGCTGTGATCTTGAAGAACAAGAACAAAGTGACAGAAGCCATTAAAGGATCTGCTTCATTGAAGACAAAAAGATGAACAAAAATTTGAAAAGGGCCTAAATCATACATGGAGAAACTACTGAAGACCAGACACAGAAGCATATTATACCTCTCAGCATCATGACAATCACAGACAAAACAAAAAGTTTGTTTGCGATATTGAAAGATAAGATTGAACACAACTACAGTGTTGAATTTTCTGCTAGCTCTGTGTGATTTTATTCAAGAATTGTTATTTATTGCATAATGTGAAAGCTGGTGAGTGGTGAGTCTGTAAATGCTGATGTGAAAGCAGCTGAAGAATTTTTGGAACTCTAGATAAGCTGATTGTGAGGAAAATTACTTCACAGGGCAAATCTTCAGTATAGATGAAAGCTTGCTATTCTGAAAACAGATACTGGAAAGGACTTTCATCCATAAAGAGGCCAAGTCAATGCCAGGTTTCAAGTTATTAAGGACAGGATAACAGTCTTGCATGGGAGAAACGTTGCAGGTTACAAATGGAAGCCCTTTGTGATCTGGCCCAGTGAGAACCCCAGGGCCTTCAAGCTTATCACTAAGCACACACTGCCAGTGTATTGCAGGAGCAATCAGAAGTCTTGAATGACCCAGCTTTTCTTCCCAGATGCCCTCCTGAATTGCTCTGCCAGCACAATGGAGAAGTACTGTTTGGAGAATAACATACCATTCAAGATTGTGCTTATTGTTGATAATGCTCCACACATCCTCCTTTTATTGGTGATCTTTATCCCGGTATCAAAGTGGTATTTCTGCCTCCAAACACCCACCTCTCTGATCCAACCAATGGATCAAGAAGTTGTCGCAGCTTTTCAGACCTACCACCTGAGAAGGACATTTACCCAGGCTATTTCTGCAACTGAAAAGACACTGATGCAATTCTGGAAGGATTACATCTATGACTGCATCAAGAACCTTGCTTAGGGTGATGTCACCAATATGGGTATGAATGGCATCTGGAAGAAGACACTCAAGAGGTTCATCTGTGACTTCAAAGGATTTGCCAAGGATGAAGAGATTGCAAAAATCAACATGGCTGTGGTTGGGATGGCAAGCAACTTTAACCATGGTGTGGACAAGGATGACATTGATGAGCACCTAGAGGTGGTTCCTGAGGAACTGACTAATGAGGGGTTGTTGGAACTGGAACAGGAACACATAGCTGAAGAACAGGCCAGAGAAAGGGAAACAGCTAGAGAAGAAAAAGAAGAAACCCCAAGAAAATTCACAGTGAAGGGTTTTAGCAGAAGCTTTAGCAGAAGCTTTTTAAGGAGCTCAACAAGCTCCTTAAAAAGTTTGAAAACATGGACCATAACACCAAAAGGTTTTCATTAATAGAGAGGAATGTTCTTGCTGCATTATCTGCATACAACAAGCAAATCTATGATGAATGAAAGAAACAAACCAAGCAAACTATTGTGGACATAATTTTTCAAAGAGTGATACCTCCTCAAGAAGAGCCTCAGGCAGGTCCTTCAGGGGGTATCCAGAGGAAGTCATTGTTGTCATAGGAGATGGCAGCTCCATGTGTGTCATTGCTTCTGAAGGCCTTCCAGTGGGATAAGATGTGTAGGTGGAAGCCAGTGATATTGATGACCCTGAGCCTGTGTAGACCTTGGCTAGTGTGTGTGTTTGTGTCTTAGTTTTTAACAAAAAAGCTTAAAAAGTAAAAAAATTTTAAATTTTAAAAATATTTAAAAATTTTTCTAAACAAATTTTTAAAAGTTTTAAAACATTTTAAAATGTTTAAAAAATTTTTTAACAAAAAAGTTTAAAAATTAAAAAAATTTTAAAAAAGCTTACAGAATAAGGATATAAGGAAAAAATATTTTTATGCAGCTATACAATATGTGTTTTAATTTAAGCGTTATTACAAAGGAGTCAAAAAGTTTAAAAAAATTGAAAGTTTATAAAGTAAAAAAGTTACAGTAAGCTTAGGTAAATTTATTATTGGAGAAAATAATTAATTTCATGTAGCCTAAGGTATAGTGTTTATAAAGTCTACAGTAGTGTACAGTAACACCCTAGGCCTTCACACTCACTCACTACTGACTCAGTGACTCACCCAGAGCAACTTCCAGTCCTGCAAACTCCATTTGTGGCAAGTGCCCTATATAGATATACCATTTTTTATCTTTTTGCCATATTTTTACTGTACCGTTTCTGTGTTTAGATGTGTTCAGATACACAGATACCTACCATTGTATTACCGTTAGTGACATTATTCAGTACTATAACATGCTGTACAGGTGTGTTTAACCTAGGAGCAATAGGCTATATTATATAGCCAAAATGTGTAGCAGGCTGTACCATCTAGGTTTGTGTAAGTACATTCTATGATGTTTGCACAACGAAATTTCTTAACAGCGCATGTCACAGAATGTATCCCCATAGTTATGCAACATGTGACTGTTTATTGTTTAAAGTTTATTTTTTCTCTAGCCAAAGGGTTGGCCTACTTATTCTGTTAGGAACCAGACAGTAAATATTTTAGGGTTTGAGAGCCATACACATTCTCTGTTGCATATTCTTCTTTGTTGTTTTCTCTTTCTTTTAAATGACCCCTTAAAAATATCAAAACCATTCTAAGCTTGGATTTGGCCCTGGGCTGAAGTTGATCAATCTTTGTTTTAGAATATAGGCAGATTGTAAAGGGCAGGAATCACATGTACTTCATTTATCATTATGTACCCAGTACCTATCACACACAGCAATTAGTATATAATAAGTATTTTGTTAGTTTCGTAGACTGATTAAATAATGTAAGTGTGTAGCCTTTTCTTCTTTCTGTTCATTCCAGAGCTCTCATGAGGGATGAGTATACTCTTGCTCACATGTTGATGTGATCTTTGGTTACTTCCTTTTCTTTATAGTGTGATCCCCTGTCTCACCTACCCGTCTGCCAAATATTAATCAAAAGTGTCATTATTTTGCCAGGCAGATATTTGGATCTGCTGAGCATTTTATCTACTTTCCAAGACAGACTCCATTCAGCCAATTTATTATTTTTAAATTTTATTTGTCTATCCTGGATGCTTACTTTTAAGTAATATTGAAACAAGTTTCTTGATCAGTTTTTATAGCTCTTAGTTAAACCCATTCATATTTCTCATTTCCATTTTTATTTTACAGATACTCTAGATTCTTTCCATGTAAACTTTATGTGAAAAATTTGGGTTATCAGTCATTTTTTGTCTATATCAGAATTTTCTGATTACACTTTCTTTCATGTTAATTTTTTACTGATAAGTGTAAACTGTACCAGGTACAGTTTTAGAAGTCAAACTTTACACATCAACAGTATGTTCGGCTGACTGGATTCCTTTCCATTTTTACTCAGGTTAAACATGCCTTATTTTCATGATTGTTTGTTTTATTTAGTTTTATCAGTAATATTCACTATGAAGTGACTGGAAGATTTAGGTAATCCAGGGAACAGTTGGTAATAGTTCCTCATAGAATCCCTATTAATTAATATTAATAATTGAAAACAGAATATCTCCTAGTAATACATTTTGCTCAGAAAAAAAATCTTTTTTCAATTATTAATATTGCTATAATTATTGACTTCATTTTCTGAGCAAAATATATTAGTAGGGCATATTGGGTGGAAATAGTCATGGGATTAGAATGGTAGAGTAAAAACATTCTGCTTTAATTCAGGTATCCCATTCTCCTTATTCTGCTGCTATAAACAAGGACCTCAGTTGGGTAAATGTCCAAACTTTTACATTTCCTCTTGCCATGTATGATTTCTGTCCACCACTAACAGTGATCTGCACAAAATACAGCTCTTGTGTTATTTCGTCATTTAAAAATCTTTGATAAACTTCCTGGAAAGAAAGAAAAATGAAGTAGTAACACATAAAACTAAGAAATAGTCTCAACTTCATGTTACAATTTTCTTTTAATATACTTTAAGTTCTGGGGTACATGTGCAAAACATGCAGGTTTGTTACATAGGTATACACATGCCATGGAGGCTTGCTGCACCCGTTAACTAGTGATCTACATTAGGTATTTCTCCTAATGCTATCCCTCCCCTGGCCCCCATCCCCCGACAGGCCTGGGTATGTGATGTTCCCCTCCCTGTGTCCATGTGTTCTCACTGTTCGGCTCCCACTTATGAGTGAGAACATGTGGTGTTTGGTTTTCTGTTCTTCTGTTAGTTTGCTGAGAATGACAGTTTCCAGTTCCATCCATGTCCCTGCAAAGGCCATGAACTCATCCTTTTTTATGGATGCGTAGTATTCCAATGGTGTATATATGCCACATTTTCTTTATCCAGTCTATCATTGATGGGCATTTGTGTTGGCTCCAAGTCTTTGCTGTTGTTAACAGTGCCACAATAAACATACATGTGCATGTGTCTTTATAGTAGAATGACTTATAATCCTTTGGGTATATACCCATTAATGGGATTGCTGGGTCAAATGGTTTTTCTAGTTCTAGATTCTTGAGGAATCGCCACATTGTCTTCCACAATGGTTGAACTAATTTACACTCCCACCAACAGTGTAAAAGCATTCTGATTTCTTCACATCCTCTCCAGCATCTGTTGTTTCCTGATTTTTTAATGATCGCCATTGTAACTGGCTTGAGATGGTATCTCATTGTGGTTTTGATTTGCATTTCTCTAATGACCACTGATGATGAGCTTTTCTTCATATGTTTTTTGACCACATAAATGTCTTCTTTTGAGAAGTGTCTGTTCATATCCTTTGCCCATTTTTCGATGGGGTTGTTTGTTTTTTTCTTGTAGATTTGTTTAAGTTATTTGTAGAGTCTGGATATTAACCCTTTGTCAGATGGATAGATTGCAAAAATTTTGTCTCATTCTGTAGGTTGCCTGCTCACTCTAATGATAGTTTCTTTTGCTTTACAGAAGCTCTTTAGTTTAGATCCCATTTGTCTATTTTGGCTTTTGTTGCCATTGCTGTTGGTGTTATAGTTGTGAAGTCTGCCCATGCCTATGTCCTGAATGGTATTGTCTAGCTTTTCTTCTAGAGTTTTTATGGTTTTAGGTCTTAGATTTACATCTTTAATCCATCTTGAGTTAATTTTTGTATAAGGTGTAAGGAAGGGGTCCAGTTTCAGTTTTCTGCATATGGCTAGCCAGTTTTCCCAACACCATTTATTAAATAGGGAGTCCTTTCCCCATTGCTTGTTTTTGTCAGGTTTGTCAAAGATCAGATGGTCGCAGATGCGTGGCATTATTTCTGAGGCCTCTGTTCTGTTCCATTGATCTATATATCTGTTTTGTACAAGTACCATGCTGTTTTGATTACTGTAGCCTTGTAGTATAGTTTGAAGTTAGGTAGCATGATGCCTCCAGCTTTGTTCTTTTTGCTTAGGATTGTCTTGGCTATGTGGGCTCTTTTTTGGTTCCATATGAAATTTAAAGTAGTTTTTCCTAATTCTGTGAAGAAAGTCAGTGGCAGCTTGATGGGGATAGCATTGAATCTATAAATTACTTTGGGCAGTATGGCCATTTTCACAATATTGATTCTTCCTATCCATGAGCATGGAATGTTTTTCCATTTGTTTATGTCCTCTCTTATTTCCTTGAGCAGTGGTTTGTAGTTCTCCTTGAAGAGGACCTTCGCATCCCTTGTAAGTTGTATTCCTAGGTATTTTATTCTCTTTGTAGCAGTTGTGAATGGGAGTTCACTTATGATTTGACTCTCTGTTTGTTATTGGTATATAGGAATGCTTGTGATTTTTGCACATTGATCTGTATCCTGAGACTTTGCTGAAGTTGCTTATCAGCTTAAGGAGATTTTGGGCTGAGACAGTGGGGTTTTCTAAATATACAATCATGTCATCTGCAAACAGAGACAATTTGACTTCCTCTCTTCCTATTTAAATACCCTTTATTTCTTTCTCTTGGCTGATTGCCCTGTCCAGAACGTCCAATAGTGTGTTGAATATGAGTGGTGAGAGAGGGCATCCTTGTCTTGTGCTGGTTTTCAAAGGGAATGCTTCCAGTTTTTGCCCATTCAGTATGATATTAGCTGTGGGTTTGTCATAAATAGCTCTTATTATTTTGAGATAGGTTCCATCAATACCTAGTTTATGGAGAGGTTTTAGCATGAAGGGCTGTTGAATTTTATTGAAGGCCCTTTCTGCATCTATTGAGATAATCATATAGTTTTTGTCATTGGTTCTGTTTATGTGATGGATTACGTTTATTGATTTGCGTATGTTGAACCAGCCTTGCATCCCAGGGATGAAGCCAACTTGATCATGGTGAATAAGCTTTTTGATGTGCTGCTGGATTCTGTCTGCCAGTATCTTATTGAGGATTTTCTCATTGATGTTCATCAGGTATATTGGCCTGAAATTTTCTTTTTTTTTTTTAATGTCTCTGCCAGGTTTTGGTATCAGGATGATGCTGGCCTCATAAAATGAGTTAGTGAGGAGTCCCTCTCTTTTTATTGTTTGGAATAGTTTCAGAAGGAATGGTACCAACTCTTCTTTATACCTCTGGTAGAATTCGGCTGTGAATCTGTCCAGTCCTGGACTCTCTTTGGTTGGTAGGCTATTAATTACTGCCTCAATTTCAGAACTTGTTATTGGTCTATTCAGGGGTTCAACTTCTTCCTGGTTTATATGTGGGAGGGTGTATGTGTCCAGAAATTTATCTATTTTTTTTCTAGACTTTCTAGTTTATTTGCATAGGGGTGTTTATAGTATTCTCTGATGGTACTTTGTATTTCTGTGGGATCGGTGGTGATATCTCCTTTATCATTTTTTGTGTCCATTTGATTCTGCTCTCTTTTCTTCATTTGTCTGACTATTGTTCTATTTTGTTGATCTTTTCAAAAAACCAGCTCCTAGCTTCATTGATTTTTTTGAAGGGTTTTTTGTGTCTCTGTCTCCTTCAGTTCTGCTCTGATCTTAGTTATTTCTTGTCTTCTGCTACCTTTTGAATTCGTTTGCTCCTGCTTCTCTAGTTCTTTTAATTGTGATGTTAGGGTGTTGATTTTAGATCTTCTCTGCTCTCTCTTGTGGGCACTTAGTGCTATAAATTTCTCTCTAAACACTGCTTTAGCTGTGTCCCAGAGATTCTGGTACGTTGTGTCTTTGTTCTTATTGGTTTCAAAGCACTTATATATTTCTGCCTTCATTTCGTTATATATATCTAGTAGTCATTATAGTAGTCATTCAGGAGCTGGTTGTTCAGTTTCACAATTAAAAAAAAGGCTTTGGAAGTTTCTTCTAGAAATTTCTAATTAGTTGTAGCACATGGAGAAAAAAGCTAAATTTCTCCAAGCTTTTAAAAAACTAATGTAATACTGATATCAAAATGTGACTAAGTGGGTTGGGCACAGTGGCTCACACCCATAAACCCAACACTTTGGGAGGCCTAGGCGGGTGGATCATCTGAGGTTTGGAGTTCGAGACCAGCCTGACCAACATGGTGAAACCCCGTCTCTACTAAAAATACAAAAAAAAATTAGCCAGGCATGGTGGTGGACACCTGTAATCCCAACTACTCAGGAGGCTGAGGCAGGAGAATCGCTTGAACCCAGGAGGTGGAGGGTGCTGTGAGCAAAGATTGTGCCACTGCACTCCAGCTTGGGTGACAGAGTGAGACTCCATCTCAAAAAATATATATATGTGTATATATATGTATACATACATGTATACATATATGTGTGTATATTTATGTATACGTATATATATGTATTTATATGTATATGTATATATGTATGTATATGTATATATGTGTATATACATATATATGTGCATATGTATACACACACACATATATATGTATATATATGTATACATACATATACTGTGTGAATCCGTCCAGTCCTGGACTCTTTGGTTGGTAGACTTTTTAGGTTTGTATGTACGTGCGTGTGTGTGTGTGTGTGTGTGTGTGTGTGTGTATAAAAATATATATACATATATTGTTGCATGTATAGTCACAAGCAAAATTACAGTTATTTTTTATGTGAACATATACATGCATATATGTATGTATATATAATATACAAATAACATTTATATATTTTATATACATTATATATTATGTATACTTCTACACATACATACATATATGGATATATACATTTTGTATACATGTATATAAGTTCACATAAAAAATAAGTATAGTTTAATTTTGCTTGTGCCTATAGATGCAAAAATCCTGCAATTGCAAAGTAAGCAGAAACTAGCAGTCCTTTTTTATAAGTGCCTATATTAGTCTGTTCTCACACTGCTGATAAACACGTACTCGAGACTAGGTAATTTATAAAGAAAAAGAGATTTAATGGACTTAACAGTTCCATGTGGCTGGGGAGGCCTCCCAGTCATGGCAGAAGGTGAAAGGCATATCTTACATGGCAGCAGGCAAGACAGAATAAGAGCCAAGCAAAAGGGGAAACACCTTATAAAACCATCAGATCTCTTGAGACTTACTTACTACCACAAGAACAGTATGTGGGAACTGCCCCCATGATTCAGCTATCTCCCACTAGGTCCCTCTCACAATTATGGAATTATGGGAGCTACAATTCAAGATCAGATTTGGGTGGGGACACAGCCAAACCATATCAGTATCTCTAAAAAAATTGAACCATTTTTCATTTTTAAAGTCAATTTAAATATTAGCAAATTAATAGAATTCTATTTTAAAAGGTCACTGTAGTAAAACATGATCCTCTCAAAAGATGTCAGAAGATGTTTGATTAATTTCATTTCTATTATTGGTTTAAAAGACACTTTATAATATTGCATATGTTTTTATTATGTTGAAAAACATGTGTATGTATTACTGGCATACCTTGGAGATATTGCATGTTGGGTTCAGACCACTGCAGTAAAGTAAGTATCGCAGTAAAGCAAGTCACACAAATTGCTTGGTTTTCCACTGCATATAAAAGTTATGTTTACATTATATGGTAGTGTATTAAATGTGCAATAGCATTATGGCTAAAGAAAGAATGTACTACATATCTTAATTTTAAAAATTTACTGCTAATAAATGCTAAGGATGATCTGAGCCTTCAGTGAGTTGTAATCTTTTTGCTGATGGAGGGTCTTGCCCCGATGTTGATGGCTGCTAACTGGTCAGGTTGGTGATTGCCGAAGGTTGGGGCAGCTTTGGCAAGATCTTAAAATCAGACAACAATGAAGTTTGCTACATTTATTGACTCTTTGTTTGATGAAGGATTCCTCTGTAGCATGCGATGCTGTTTAATAGCATTTGCCCATAGTATGATTTCTTTCAAAATTGGAGTCAGTGCTCTCAAACTTTTTGCTATTGCTTTATTCATCAAGTTTATGTAGTATTATAAATCCTTTGTTGTCATTTTAACCAAGGCTCACAACATCTTCACTTAGGAGTCAATTTCTTCTCAAGAAACTGCTTTCTTCTCAACCATAAGAAACAACGCGTCAGCTCTTTACGTTTTATCAGGATATTATAGCAATTCTGCCACATCCTTCAGATTTCACTTCTAATTCTGCTTCTCTTGCTATTCCTGCCATATCTGCAATTACTTCCACCACTGAAGTCTTGAAACCCCACAAAGTCATCCATGAATCAACTTATTTCAAATTCCTATTAGTGTTGACATTTTGACCTCCTCCCATGAATCATGAATGTCCTTACTGGCATCTAAAAGGGTGAATCCCTTCCAGGAAGTTGTCAGTTTACTTTGCCCAGACTCATCAGAGGAATCCCTCTGTGGCAGCTATAGCCTTACAAAATTTATTTCTTAAGTAATAAGACTTGACAGTTGCAGTTATTTCTTGATGTACAGACTGCAGAACGGATGTTGTCTTAGCAGGCAACACTAATGTCTTGTACATTTCCATCAGAGTTCTTGGGTGATCAGGTGCATTGTCAATGAGTAGTAATATTTGGAAAGGAATCCTTTTTTTGGAGCAGAAGGTCTGAACAGTAGGCTTAAAATATCCAGTAAACCATGCTATAAACAGATGTGCTGTCATCCAGTCTTTGTTATTCCATTTATAGTGCACAGTTAGAGGAAATTTAGCATAATTCTTAAAGGTTCTAGCATTTTTGAAATGGTAAATGAGCATTTCAACTTAAACTTAGCAGCTCCGTTAGACCCTATCAAAGAGAGTCAGCCTGTCCTTTGAAGATTTGAAGCCAGGCATTGACTCCTCTCTAGCTGTGAAAGTCCTAGATGGCATCTTCTTTCCGTGTAAGGATGTTTAGTCTATTTTGAAAATCTGTTGTTGTAGTGTAGCCACCTTCATCAGTGATCTTAGCTAGATCTTCTGGATAATTTGCTGCAGCTTTAACGTCAGCACTTGCAGCTTCACCTTGCAGTTTTATGTTATGAAGACAGCTTCTTTCCTTAAACCTCATGACCCAATCTCTACTAGCTTCCAACTTTTCTTCTGCAGCTTGCTTGCTTCTCAGCCTTCAAAGAATTGTAGAGAGTTAGAGCTTTGCTCTGGATCAGGCTTTGGCTTAAGGGAATGTTATAGTTGGTTTGATCTTCTCTCCAGACCACTCAAACATTCTCCATATCAGCAATAAGGCTTTTTTGCTTTCTTATCTTTTGTTTGTTCACTGGAGTAGCACTTTTAATTTTCTTCAAGAATGTTTCCTTTGCATTCACAACTTGGCTATTTGGTGCATGAGGCCTAACTTTTGGCCCATCCTGGTGATACGGTTTGGATTTGTGTCCCTGCCCAAATCTCATGTTGAATTGTAATACCCAGTGTTGGAGGAGGGGTTTGGTGGGATGTGATTAGATCATGGGGGTAGATTTTCCCCTTGCTGTTCTCATGATAGTGAGTCCTCATGTGATCTGGTTGTTCAAAAGTGTATAGCGCCTCCCCCTTAACCCTATTCCTTCTGCTCCAGCATGTAAAATGTGCTTGCTTCTCCTTCACCTTACACCGTGATTATGTTTCCTGAGGCCTACCCAGCCACACTTCCTGTACAGTCTGCAGAACTGTGAGCCAGTTAAACCTCTTTTCATTACAAATTACCCTGTCTCAGGTAGTTCTTTACAGCAACACAAGAATGGACTAATGCATTTGGCTTTTGACATGCCTTCCTCACTAAGCTTCCTTATTTCTAGCATTTGATTTGAAGTGAGACATGCAACTGTTTCTTTACTTAAACACTTAGAGGCCATTGTAGTGTTATAAATTGCCCAAATTTCAATATTGCTATGTCTTAGGGAATGGGAAGGCCTGAAAAGAGGGAGAGGTAGGGGAATGGCTGGTCAGTGGAGCAGTCAGAGTTCATACACCATTTGTCAATTTAAGTTTGCCATCTTATATGGGCATAAATTGTGGTACTCCAAAGTACTTAGAACACTAACATTAAAGATCACTGATCACAAATCACCATTATAGATACAACAGTAATGAAATGTTTGAAATATTGAGAGAATTACCAAAATGTGATCCAGAGACAGGAAGTGAGCACATGCTGTTGGAAAAATGGTACCAATAGATTTGCTTGACACAAGGTTGTCAAAAACCTTCAATTTGTAGATATCACAGTGCCTTCAAAGAGCAGTAAAGCAAAGTACAATAAAACAAGGTATGCCTGTATATTTTTAGGCAGTATCATATAAAATGGTCACCCACAGCATGTATTCCTATCAGTGTCAGGTTCAAGTCAAGGGTTTTTCTTGTCAACACTATGTAACATTATTATGGAAGTGTTGGTGACAGTTATTAAACAAGAAAATGAATTAATGGAATTATTGAGGGCTATAGAGTGCTAAAGAGCACTCTGTAGCTGTGCTAAACAGCACAGCTCCTTAGCTTGGCTATAAAAACCTTTTTAGCCTTATCTTTCATCGTACCACCACCACCATCAGCTGGGACTAGGTGTCATGGTATCAGTTTCTCTCAAAGCAGTGGTTTTCAGACATGGATGGTGTATGTATTAATATTACTTTTAAAGAAAAAAAATTATTGTGCAGCCTGATTTCTGTACAGTTAAGTATGATTACTTTATAGTCTTTACATAATATAAGGAATTTACAAATTGAGTTGAAACAAGACCACAGAACAAAATAAAAATTAACATTAGTGTAACAGATGGTATTTTGCTGGCACTAGATTGCTATGGGTCTCATTCTATATTTAATCTGTTTTTGTATTTTTACTTCAATAACATTCCACTGGTTTTTGTATTTCTAAAATTAACTCAGACCTTCAGGAGATGTGCCTTTACTCTTTGGTCCTTCATTTGATACAAACACAATTGTAAACCCATTTGAAACATTTAGAAATCAGTAAGTCAAAATTAAAGTTACTTTACCACACGAATTATCAGACCCGTAGTGTGAGTGCGGTGGCTCATGCCTGTAATCTCAGCACTTTGGAAGCCTGAGGCAGGCAGATCGCAAGGTCTGGAGTTCAAGACCAACATGGTGAAACCCCGTCTCTACTAAAAATACAAAAATTAGCTGGGCCTGGTGGCGCATGCCTGTAATACCAGCTCCTCTGGAGGCTAAGGCAGGAAATTACTTGAACCGGGACCCAGGAGGCAGAGGTTGCAGTGGGCTGAGATCACGCCACTGCACTCCAGCCTGGGCTACAGAGGGAGACTCTGTCTCAAAACAAACAAAAAAAGCGTAGTGTGCTAATGCTAATGCACATTGTGTTTTTGCAGGATATGAATATAGAATATGCGTGATTTCTGGAGTTTGCTACAATTTGTTAATGAATATTCTAAGGCAAATCCATCACATACTTTCAATTGCAATAAAATATGTATTTTTTTCTAAATCTTATGTGTCCTTGCATTCATTTTTCCCACTTTCTGGTTTTCCCCCTTTGTAAAGCTCTCTCTCTCTCTCTAAGGTACCTACTGTCAACAACGGGAAGTGGAGGCCATTACTGAAGGTGTAGAGGAAGATGAAGGATTTTGCTGTTGTGAACCTGGCCATATTCCTCACATGCTTTCATTTAATGCTGCATTTAGCCAGCGATGGCTAGCTTGGGAAGTGATAGTCACAAAGTACATTCTGGAGGGTTATAGCATCACTGATAACAGTGCTGCTTCTATGCTTCAAGTCTTTGATCTTCGGAAAGTACTCACCACTTACTATGTCAAGGTAGGAGTATGTGCCTACTTAGATCTTTAGATAATCAGAGTTTCTTCTTGGGAATGACATATATAAGTATATATATATGTATATACTTTTTTTTAACGTATGCTTTGCTTCCAAGTACTTATTTAAATTCTCTAGGATCCAGAATACTCCATAAAAATAAGCCTACTAACGTCTTGCCTTCTCTTTGTTTACTGGAATTCATTCTATTCATTCATTAATAATAATAGCTAGACATTTGTAGCTTGTGTTTTAGCTTGTGCTAAGGAATATGTACACACAAATACGCATACACACGTGTATCTTACTTAATACTGTAAAGAAGTATTTCCCTATTTTACAAATAAACAACTTAAGGATCAGAAGTTAACTTGTCCAAGATCCTCTAACAAGTAGAGTTTGGGGCTTAAAAGCCAGGCTTGTCTGACTCTTGAGCCCTTGCCCTTGACCACTGCTTTGCACTGCTTTCATTCAACAAACTGAATAAAAGTATTGCAAAATTCAAGAGGTCCCTAAGACCACCCTCACTTCTGACATCAGCTGTAATTTTGGGGTCCCCAAGACCACTCATAGGGTAAGTTGCTAGAAACACCCACGGAACTCAGCAAAGTTGTCATACCCACATTACACTCATGTTACTACAGTAGAAGGACACAGATTAAAATCAGCCAAAGGAAGAGGTACATAGGATATTGTCCAGAGACACCGAATCAAGGAGCTTCCAGTTGTCCTCTCACAGTAGAGTTGTGCAGATGCCTGTTTTTCCCAGCAGTGAAGCATGGCTGTACTCACGGGCTGTTGTCCACCAAGGAAGCTTGCTCGAGCTTGGTGTCCTGTCACGTAGGCATGGTTGACCATCCACATGGCCAGCGTAAGTCTCCAGGACGTCCAGAGGTCATGCTGATACTGTGTGGCTCTAGGTCTCCAGCTGAACAAAGACTCTTTAACGGGAAGGGCATCCCAAGGCTTAGCGGTTACCCCCTAGAACCCAAGGGTAAAGGCCAAACCCCTCGTTGGGCAAGGTTAATCCTTTACTGCACAAGATACTCTTATTTTTGCTAAAGAGTTTACAGAAATACAGTATGGTTGTCACTTAGGGGCTTCCAGGTGAAGCCAGTATTTTTAAGAAGGAAATGTGTGCTAAGCTTTAATAACCAACATCTGAATTTTTCACATCGTTTTTTCTTTTCTTCTCTTTTTTTTTTTTTTTTTTTTTTGAGACAGGGTTTCATTCTGTTGCCCAGGCTGGACTACAGTGGCATGATCGTAGCTCACTGCAGCCTTGACCTCCAGGGCTCAAGCAATACACCCACGTTAACCTCCTGAGTAACTGGGACTACAGGTGCATGCCACCACACCCAGCTAATTTTTTATTTTTTTGTAGAGATGAGGTTTCACTGTGTTGCCCAGGCTCTCAAACTCTGGGCTCAAGCAGTTCTCCCACACTGGCCTCCCAAAGTGCTGGGGTTATAGGTGTGAGCCGCCATCCCCAGCCTGAAATTTTCATATCTTGTGTTGTTACCTCTCCTCACGACCTTATTTGCTGATTGGGATGAACGCTGAGCCTTCCATTTTATGTTTGGCTTAACCTAACCTCAGGAAGCTAGAGATTGATTTCACAATATTTTTTACTTGTATGTGCGTGTGGCATTTTCTATCTCTAGTTCTAAATATATATCTCTATAACTTGGCCTAGGACCACCAGATGGCCTTAATAACTCTCTATGAGAAATTATTCAAAATAAATGCAGCACAGTAAAGTTTTTTTTACCTCTTTTGAAATATCCTAAGTTCAAAATCTGTAAAATCCATAGATTAGGGCCAGGCGCAGTGGCTGATACCTGCAATCCCAGCACTTTGGGAGGCCGAGGCGGATGGACCACTTGAGGTCAGGAGTTCAAGACCAACCTGGCCAAAATGGTGAAAACCCATCTCTACTAAAAATACAAAAATTTATCTGGGTGTGGTGGCGGGCACCTGTAGTCCCAGCTGAGGCATGAGAGTTGCTTGAACCCAGGAGATAGAGGTTGCAGTGAGCCGAGATTATGCCATCGCACTCTAGCATGGGCGACAGAGTAAGACTCTGTCTCTAAATAAATAAATAATAAAATAAAATAAATAGAATTGTTTTGAAGTTGCTTTGTTGAATTTATGGTTGTGATTTTAAAGTATTAGATGTTTTTTCATCCAGTAAGGCCTGAGGTATATTATTATAGTATTCTTAAAATATATATGTAGAATATTGAGGGGGAATAAAATACTTTTTAGTCAGACTAAAAAGTGTTTTACTATTTATCATTATAAATAATTGGAATTTATTTCATTGAGTAATCTGAGTTAATTGAAATTGTAATTTAATCTGAATTCTTTTTTTTTTGTCTTGTTCATGTTAGGGTATCATTTATTATGTTACGACCTCGTCTAAGCTAGAGGAGTGGCTAGCTAATGAGACAATGCAGGAAGGACTTCGTCTGTGTGCTGATCGCAATTATGTCGATGTGGACCCGACCTTTAATCCAAACATTGATGAAGACTATGACCACCGACTGGCAGGCATATCTAGGGAGAGTTTCTGTGTGATTTACCTCAACTGGATAGAGTACTGCTCTTCCCGAAGAGCAAAGGTAGAGTTTATTTCATTTATAACTCTTTGAATCCAGGTTTTTCCAAAGATGCAAAGAATGTCCCTGTTAGTTCTTATGAGGTCAGTTTTTCAAGACCTTCCTCTTTCTGATCTTCTGGTTAAGATAACCTAACTGGTTCATTATGGTTGGGCCAAACCAGCTCTGCCAAAACAGGTTAAAGGAAGTGGCCTCCCTCTTTCTTTCATTTGCAGTGTCCCAGTCTCACTGTCCAGGTAGCACCTCCTTCATCCTGGGCATGTACAGGCATGCACATACATTCACATTCCATGCATTACCCTCCAAAATCTAGTCCTTAAGAAATTCTACCTCTGTCTGCCACACTTAAGGATAATTAAATGTCTTTGTCCCAAATAGAAAGTCTAGACCAGTGCTGGCTAATGGACTTTCTGCAGTGTTGGAAATATGCTGTCACTGCCACATGTGGCTGTGAAACACATGAAATGTGGCTAGTACAACTGAAAAGCCGAATTGTAAATTTTATTTAATTTTAACTGATTTAAATTTAGGAGCCCATATAGCTAGTGACTACCATATTAGACAGTGTGCATCTAGACCATTGATTTTCAAATGTTAATATGAGTAAAAAAGACATAGGAACTTGTAAAAATGCAGATTCCTGGGCCCCACCTGCAAGACTCTGATCTAGGTCTAGGCTGGGGATCACCCTAGGTGATTTTAATTCTGGTGGCTCCCAATCCACACATTAGGATAACATGTCTTATCCTAAAAGTAAGATGAGTTAGGGACTTCAGCAACTACAGCTTTCTTCTAGGTCTCATGATTTTTGTGGTAGTATCACACCCCTGATCAGACTCCATGTAACAGAATTGCAGTGCCAAGGCCTGTGATTACAAAGCTAATTCCTACCACCACTGCTGCTTTTTAAGCAAAAGCCTTGTGTAGTTGAACCACCAGTGTCGTATGTACAGATGTACCTGCTATCATGGAGCAGTGTGAGCTACCTTGACAACTGGTGCCTTCGTCATGGTCTAGGAGGTGCATACCGACCATCTTCACGTTTAGCACTTGGTTTAGTCCTTCCTTTGCCACCACTTAGAGTAAGACAGCCATCATATCAGCCTCTTTTTACTCCATCAATAAGAACAGGAGCATCTTGTACTTCCTTTCTGAGCAGTGGCCTTTGAGCTTTTATACTAGATGTGCAGTATATACTGAGCAGAGTAGTATATCTTAAAAGAAGGGATAGTGAGTTGGATAAAATAACCTCACAAAAGGTTCAGAAGACCAGCAGACAGTGGCTAGAAGTAGAGGACCTCAAAGCTAAACTTCTTTCTTCCAAACATATAATAAATAGTTTTATTTTTTCATAAATAAAATACACTTAAAATACTTCGCGTACTGTTCTCAAATCCTTGAACTGACTTTTGTTGGGGAGAGTAATGGGAACAGTCATGTTATTCTATATCTCTTCTTTGGCTTAGATGATATTGGCTATTTTGTTATGAGTTAATCATGATGTTTTGGGCTAGGAGTTCACAGTCTACCCACTCAGGAACAGGGTTCCATCCTACCTTAAGGACCTTTCTCTTAGAGATTATTGCTGAAGTCATGAACATGGCTCAAGGAAGTCCTCCTGATTGGTAATAAATCATATATTCAAAAGGTTTACCTCTAAACTTGGGTATCCCCAGTCTCATCAGGTAGCTTATTTCACTAATCCTGGTCTGTTTTGTTTTCTACTCTTACAATCTGTTTAGAAAAAAATTATCAGTTGTATTTTTCCAGCTATATAGTCTTCCCATCTGCTCTAGTTTCTCTTTTAAGTTGAACAAGATTATCTTCATCTCCTTAAGATCTTGCATGCTATTCCCTGAATCAACATTCCCAGAATAACCTTTTCCTGGGGACATTAATCAGGCCAGACTTGCTGACTCCAAACTGTAGTGCCCTCATCTGAATGTTTAAAAGCTGCCTCAGACCCTTCTTCCATAGTTTCCTTTCAAGATAGTGTAAGATTGATCCTGAACTAACTGCATTAAAATTACCTTCAATGGGAAAATGAAAAGATTCATCTCAGCTTCTTTCTCCTACTTTTCAAACGATAAGTATTTCTTTCACTTTGTTGTTAGTATTAGCAAGAATTCTTGGTGAGAATTTCTAATGCAATTTAGGGACTAGGGCACACGCCTTCTCCACCAGTAACAAAATAGTGCTACCAGGCTTGAACTAATTTTTTTCTTTCAGCAAATTAAAGATGTTGCTATACTGTCTTCTGGCTTGCATTGTTTCTGATGAGAAGTCTGCTGTCATTCTTTTCTTTGTTCCTCTGAAAAAAATGGTAGGTACAATATAATATCTTTTTTCACTGGCTGCTTTTAAGATTTTCTCTTTATTACTGGTTTTAAGCAATTTAAATATGATGTGCCTTAGTGTAGTTTTCTCATGTTTCTTTTTTAATTATTATTATACTTTAAGTTCTGGGATACATGTGCAGAACATGCAGGTTTGTGGCATGGGTATACACATGCCATGGTGGCTTGCTGTACCCATCAACCTGTCATCTACATTAGGTATTTCTCCTAAGCTATGCCTCCCATAGCCCCCTACACCCCGACAGGCCCCGGTGTGTGATGTTCCCCTCCCTGTGTCCATGTGTTCTCATTGTTCAACTCCCACTTATGAGTGAGAACATCCAGTGTTTGGTTTTCTGTCCCTGTGTTAGTTTGCTAAGAATGATGCTTTCCAGCTTCATCCATGTCCCTGCAAAGGACATGAACTCATCCTTTTTTATGGCTGCATAGTATTCCATGTTGTATATGTGTCACATTTTATCTAGTCTATCACTGATGGGCATTTGGATTGGTTCCAAGTCTTTGCTATTGTGAACAGTGCTGCAATAAATATACATGTGCATGTGTCTTTATAGTAGAATGATTTATAATCCTTTGTGTGTATACCCAAAATGGGATTGCTGGGTCAAATGGCATTTCTGGTTCTAGATCCTTGGGGAATCGCCACTCTATCTTCCACAATGGTTGAACTAATTTACACTCCTACCAACAGTGTAAAAGCATTCCTATTTCTTCACATCCTCTCCAGCACCTGACTTTTTAATGATCGCCTGACTTTGTAACTTTTTTTTGTTTCCTGACTTTTTAATGATCGCCATTCTAACGGGAGTGAGATGGTATCTCATTGTGGTTTTGATTTGCATTTCTCTAATGACCATTGATGATGAACTTTTTTTCATATGTTTGTTAGCCACATAAATGTCTTCTTTTGAGAAGTGTCTGTTCATATCCTTGACCTACTTTTGGATCGGGTTTTTTTTTCTTGTAAATTTAAATTCCTTGTAGATTCTGGATATTAGCCCTTTGTCAGATGGGTAGATTGCAGAAATTTTCTCCCATTCTGTAGGTTGCCTGTTCACTCTGATAATAGTTTCTTTTGCTGTACAGAAGCTTTTTAGTTTAATTAGATCCCATTTGTCAATTTTGGCTTTTGTTGCCATTGCTTTTGGTGTTTTAGTCATGAAGTCTTTGCCTATGCCTATGTCCTGAATGGTATTGCCTAGGTTTTCTTCTAGAGTTTTTATGGATTTAGGTCTTACATTTAAGTCTTTAATCCGTCTTGAGTTAATTTTTGTATAAGGTGTAAGGAAGGGGTCCAGTTTCAGTTTTCTGCATATGGGTAGCCAGTTTTCCCAGCACCATTTATTAAATAGGGAATCCTTTCCCCATTGTCTTGTTTTTGTCAGGTTTGTCAAAGATCAGATGGTTGTAGATGAGTGGCATTATTTCTGAGGCCTCTGTTCTGTTCCATTGATCTATATATCTGTTTTGGTGCCAGTACCATGCTGTTTTGATTACTGTAGCCTTGCAGTAGAGTTTGAAGTTAGGTAATGTGATGCCTCCAGCTTTATTCTTTTTGCTTAGGATTGTCTTGGCTATGCGGGCTCTTTTTTGATTCTATAGGAAATTTAAAGTAGTTTTTTCTAATTCTTAGAAGCAAGTCTGTGGTAGCTTGATGGGGATAGCATTGAATCTGTAAATTACTTTGGGTAGTATGGCCATTTTCACAATATTGATTCTTCCTATCCATGAGCATGGAATGTTTTTCCATTTGTTTGTGTCCTCTCTTATTTCCTTGAGCAGTGGTTTGTAGTTCTCCTTGAAGAGGTCGTTCACATCCTTGTAAGCTGTATTCCTAGGTATTTTATTCTCTTTGTAGCAATTGTGAATGGAAGTTCACTCATGATTTGGCCCTCTGTCTGTTATTGCTGTATAGGAATGCTTGTGATTTTTGCACATTGATTTTGTATCTTGAGACTTTGCTGAAGTTGCCTATCAGCTTAAGGAGATTTTGGGCTGAGACAGTGGGGTTTTCTAAATATACAGTCATGTCATCTGGAAACAGAGACAATTTGACTTCCTCTCTTCCTATTTAAATACCCTTTATTTCTTTCTCTTGGCTGATTGCCCTGTCTAGAACTTCCAATACTGTGTTGAGTAGGAGTGGTGAGAGAGGGCATCCTTGTCTTGTGCCGGTTTTCAAAGGGAATGCTTCCAGTTTTTGCTCATTCAGTATGATATTAGCTGTGGGTTTGTCATAAATAGCTCTTATTATTTTGAGATAGGTTCCATCAGTACCTAGTTTATGGAGAGTTTTTAGCATGAAGGGCTGTTGAATTTTATTGAAGGCCTTTTCTGCATCTATTGAGATAATCATGTGGTTTTTGTCATTGGTTCTGTTTATGTGATGGATTACGTTTATTGATTTGCATATGTTGAACCAGCCTTGCATCCCAGGGATGAAGCCAACTTGATTATGGTGGATAAGCTTTTTGATGTGCTGCTGGATTCTGTCTGCCAGTATCTTATTGAGGATTTTCTCATTGATGTTCATCATGTATATTGGCCTGAAATTTTCTGTTTTTGTTGTGTCTCTGCCAGGTTTTGGTATCAAGATGATGCTGGTCTCATAAAATGATTAGGGAGGAGTCCCTCTTTTTCTGTTGTTTGGAATAGTTTCAGAAGGAATGGTACCAGCTCTTCTTCGTACCTCTGGTAGAATTCAGCTGTCAGTCCGTCTGATCCCGGGCTTTTTTTGGTTGGTAGGCTATTAATTACTGCCTCAATTTCAGAACTTGTTATTGATCTATTCAGGGATTCGACTTCTTCTTGGTTTATACTTGGGAGGGTGTGTGTGTCCAGAAATCTATCCATTTCTTCTAGACCTAGTTTATTTGCGTAGAGGTGTTTATAGTATTCTCTGATGGTAGTTTGTATTTCTGTGGGATCAGTGGTGATATCCCCTTTATCATTTTTACTGTGTCTATTTGATTCTTCTCTCTTTTCTTCTTTATTAATCTAACTAGCAGTCTATTTGTTGATCTTTTCAAAAAACCAGCTCCTGGATTCATTTTTTGAAGGGTTTTGTTGTATCTCTATCTCCTTCAGTTCTGCTCTGATCTTAGTTATTTCTTGTCTTCTGCTACCTTTTGAATTTGTTTGCTCTTGCTTTTCTAGTTCTTTTAATTGCGATGTTAGGGTGTTGATTTTAGATCTTTCCCACTTTTTTTCTGTGGGCATTTAGTGCTATAAATTTCTCTCTAAACACTGTTTTAGCTGTGTCTCAGAGATTCTGGTATGTTGTGTCTTTGTTCTCATTGGTTTCAAAGCACTTATTTATTTCTGCCTTGATTTCATTATTTACCCAATAGTCATTCAGGGGCAGGTTTTTCAGTTTCCGTGTTGTTGTGCGGTTTTGAGTGATTTTCTTAATCCTGAGTTCTAATTTGATTGCACTGTGGTCTGAGAGACCGTTTGTTTTGATATCTGTTCTCTTGCATTTGCTGAGGAGTGTTTTACTTCCAATTATGTGGTCAGTTTTAGAATAAGTGCAATGTGGTGCTGAGAAGAATGTATATTCTGTTGATTTGGGGTGGAGAGTTCTGTAGACATCTATTAGGTCTGCTTGGTCCAGAGCGGAGTTCAAGTCCTGAATATCCTTGTTAATTTTCTATCTCGCTGATCTAATATTGACAGTGGGGTGTTAAAATCTCCCACTATGATTGTGTGGGAGTCTGAGTCTGTTTGTAGGTCTCTAAGGACTTGCTTCATGAATCTGGGTGCTCCTGTATTGGGTGTATATATATTTAGGATAGTTGGCTCTTCTCGCTACATTGATCCCTTTACCGTAGCTTTTCTTTGTCTTTTTTGATCTTTGTTGGTTTAAAGTCTGTTTTATCAGAGACTAGGATTGCAACCCCTGCTTTTTTTTTGCTTTCCATTCACTTGGTAAATATTCCTCCATCCCTTTATTTTGAGCCTATGTGTGTCTTTGCACATGAGATGGATCTCCTGAATACAGCACACCGATGAGTCTTGGCTCTATCCAGTTTGCCAGTGTGTGTCTTTTAATTGGGGCATTTAGCCTGCTTACATTTAAGGTTAATATTGTTATATGTGAATTTGATCCTATCATTATGATGTTAGCTGGTTATTTTGCCCATTAGTTGATGCAGTTTCTTCATAGTGTCAGTGGTCTTTACAATTTGGTAAATTTATAGTACCAGTGGCTGGTACTGGTTTTTCCTTTCCATATTTAGTGCTTCCTTCAGGAGCTCTTGTAAGGGAGGCATGGTGGTGACAAAAATCTCTCAGCATTTGCTTGTCTGTAAAGGATTTTATTACTCCTTAGCTTATGAAGCTTAGTTTGGCTGGATATGCAATTCTGGGTTGAAAATTCTTTTCTTTAAGAATGTTGAATACTGGCCCTCACTCTCTTCTGGCTTGTGCGGTTTCTGCAGAGAGATCTGCTGTTAGTCTGATGGGCTTCCCTTTGTGGGTAATCCGACCTTTCTCTCTGGCTGCCCTTAACATTTTTTCCTTCATTTCAACCTTGGTGAATCTGACGATTATGTGTCTTGGGGTTGCTCTTCTTAAGGAGTACCTTTGTGGTGTTCTCTGTATTTCCTGAATCTGAATGTTGGCCTGTCTTGCTAGGCTGGGGAAGTTCTAGGTAATAATCCTGAAGAATGTTTCCAAGTTGATTCCATTCTCTGCATCACTTTCAGGTACACCAATCAAATGTAGGTTTGGTCTTTTCACATAGTCCCATATTTCTTGGAGGCTTTGTTCGTTCCTTTTCATTCTTTTTTCTCTCATCTTGTCTTCATGCTTTATTTCATTAAGTTGATCTTCAATCTCTGATATCCTTTCTCCTGCTTGATCGATTTGGCTATTGATACTTTTGTATGCTTCACAAAGTTCTCATGCTGTTTTTCAGCTCCATCAGGTCATTTATGTTCTTCTCTAAACTGGTTATTCTAGTTAGCAATTCCTCTGACCTTTTTTCAAGGTTCTTAGCTTCCTTGCATTGGGTTAGAACATGCTCCGTTAGCTTGGAGGAGTTTGTTATTACCCATGTTCTGAAGCCTACTTCTGTCAATTTGTCAAACTCATTCTCCATCCAGTTTTGTTCCCTTGCTGGCGAGGAGTTGTGATCCTTTGGAGGAGAAAAGGCATTCTGGTTTTTGGAATTTTCGGCCTTTTTGCACTGGTTTTTCCTCATCTTCGTGGATTTATCTACCTTTGGTCTTTGATGCTGGTGACCTTCAGATGGGGTTTCTGTGTGGACATCCTTTTGGTTGATGATGATGCTATTCCTTTCTGTTTGTTAGTTTTCCTTCTAACAGGCCCCTCTGCTGCAGGTCTGCTGGAATTTGCTGGAGGTCCACTTCAGACCTTGTTTGCCTGGGTATCACCAGTGGAGGCTGCAGAACAGCAAAGATTGCTGCCTGTTCCTTTCTCTGGAAGCTTCGTCCCAGAGGGGCACCCGGCAGGTGCCAGTCAGAGCTCTCCTGTATGAGGTGTCTGTCGACCCCTGCCCGGGAGGCGTCTCCCAGTCAGGATGCACAGGGGTCAGGGACCCACTTGAGGAGGCAGTCTGTCCCTTAGCAGAGCTCAAGTGCTGTGCTGGGAGATCCGCTGCTCTCTTCAGAGCCAGCAGGCAGCAACATTTAAGTCTGCTGAAGCTGTGCCCACAGCCACCCCTTCCCCCAGGTGCTCTGTCCCAGGGAGATGGGAGTTTTATCTATAAGCCGCTGACTGGGGCTGCTGCCTTTCAGAGATGCCCTGCCCAGAGAGGAGGAATCCAGAGAGGCAGTCTGGCTACAGTGGCTTTGCTGAGCTGTGGTGGGCTCTGCCTGGTTCAAACTTCCTGGCAGCTTTGCTTACACTGTGAGGGGAAAACCGCCTACTGAAGCCTCAGTAATGGCAGATGCCCCTTCCCCCACCAAGCTTGAGCATCCCAGGTCAACTTCAGACTGCTGTGCTGGCAGCAAGAATTTCAAGCCAGTAGATCTTAGCTTGCTGGGCTCCGTAGGGGTGGGATCCACTGAGCTAGACCACTTGGCTCCCTGGCTTCAGCCCCCTTTCCAGGGGAGTGAACAGTTCTGTCTCGCTGGCATTCCAGGCGCCACTGGGGTATGAAAACTCTGGCAGTTAGCTCGGTGTCTGCCCAAATGGCTGCCCAGTTTTGTGCTTGAAACCCAGGGCCCTGGTGGTATAGGCACGCGAGGGAATCTCTTGGTCTGTGGGTTGTGAAGACCGTGGGAAAAGCATAGTATCTGGGCCAGAATGCACTGTTCCTCACGGCACGGTCCATCACAGCTTCCCTTGGCTAGGGGAGCAAGTTCCCCGACCTCTTGTGCTTCCCAAGTGAGGCAACGCCCCACCCTGCTTCGGCTTGCCCTCTGTGGGCTGCACCTACTGTCTAACCAGTCCCAATGCGATGAGCCGGGTACTTCAGTTGGAAATGCAGAAATCACCTGCTTTCTGCCTTGATGTTGCTGGGAGCTGTAGACCGGAGCTGTTCATGTTCGGCCATCTTGCCAGCCACCTGTTTCTTGTTCTTGAAGTTCATTGAGATTCTTCAATCTGTAAGTACATAATTTTTTTCAGATTTGGAAACTTTTCATGATTTAAAAAAATCTATTAAAGACATGCTTTATTAATACAAACACAAACTATAAAGGACTAAGAAATATAAATATCTGTGTCATAAGCAAACATTCAGGATCGACAGAATGATCAAAGGAGACTGCATCAAATTGGATTCCTATGGTGGAGGGGGGACCCCAGCTGTAACAGCTTTTCCAGTTCTCTCTCCCATCCAGAACCATGAGAGGCACGCCATTCGAGGGGAGGTATGCAATCTGATGCTCCTCAGACAGGTCAAAATTCTCAAAGTCTATAGGATTAAAAAGTCTATAGGATTAAAAGGGGAGCATTTTTCTACTTTTGGATAGGTGTCATCGAGGCAGGAATAAAGGTGGTTTTAGCTTTAACAGTCTTCTCAGTCATAAGGCCCAGACCCCAGCTTCAGCCCATCCTTAGGAGCCACACAGGTGCCTGGTTCTCTGTTTTCCTTATCAATAAGGATCAGAGTAGTTATTCTGGATTACTCCAAGACTCTCCTTCCACCATTATTAAAAATAGTTTTTTCTGTTTTCCTCTACGCCTTTTGCAGGAACTCCAATTATATTTGTATTAGGCTGCTTGATTGTCCTACAGCTCCCTGACGCCCTGTTCATTTATTTTCAGTCTTTTTTCTCTCTGTATTTCATTTTGCATAGTTTCTCTTGCTAAGTTTTTGAGATCATTTATCTTTTCTTCTGAATTAATATACCAGTAATCCCATTCAGTATATTTTTTATCTCAGACATTGCTTCATTTTGTGTCTCTAGAAGTTTGATTTGGGTCTTTTCTACAAATCTTCCATGTCTCATTCAACATGCTCAGTCATTCCTCTGCCTTCTTGAGCTTATGGAATATAGTTAAAATAGTTGTTTTAATATCCTTGTGGGTTAAGCCTAACATCAATGTCAGTTGTGGGTCAGTTTTGATTGAGTGGTTAATTGATTGTTATTATGGGTCCTATTTTCCTGCTACTTGCATGCCTGTCAATTTTTTATTAGATGCCAGTCTTTATGAATTTTACTCTGAAGGGTGCTGGATATTTCTGTATTCCTGTAAATAATTCTTGAACTTTGTTTTGTGACACAGTTAAATTCTTTGGGGACAGTTTGATCCTTTCAGGGCTTGCTTTGGAGGGACCAGAGCAGCTGTTAGTCTGGGGCTAATTCTTCCCCATGACCAAGACAATGCCATCCTGAGTGTTCTAGCCAGTCCCAAGGTTTTTCGCTGTTCCTTTGTATTCCATTCGGATGATTCTTTTCTCAGCCTAGGGTCCTCTTTGCGTGTGTGCTGTTGCCGTAGATCTCCGAGTTCCCTCGCCTCCCTCTCTCAGTAGCTCTCTCTAGCACTCTGCCCTGTGAGCTCCAGCTGGCTCAGAGGCCTCTGTCTCAATTTGTGCTCCCCTTTCTTGTGCTGTGGTCTGGAAACTCTCTAGGTAATAAGCTCAGTCAGTTGTAGGGCTACCTCATTTGTTTCCTGTCTCTCAGGGACCGGTGTCCAGTGTCTAAAAACTGTTGTGTCATGTATTCTGCCCAGTCTTTGGCTGTTTCAGCTAGGGGGGTAAATATGGTCTCTATTGAATCATCTTGGCTGAGGTAAATCTGAATTAAAAAAAAAAATTTCTCATCACAGAAACAATACATTTTTAGTCTAGAAAGTTGACAGGGGAAGGGAGGTAGAGAAAAAGAAAAAAAGAATGAAGATCACCCGTCATTTTATCACCCGTTGTAACTACCTTTAGTATTTTTTCTTTATACAACTTCAAGTCTACACCCACTCTCTTTTATTTTTCTTTTGTATTTCTTTAAACTAGTGCTCTCATACTCTTTATTTACTGTTTTGTAACCTGGACCCAAATTTTTTTTCAAAATGCCTACTTGATGAAACTAGAGTACGTGCTGTAAGAGGTAATATGTCTTTAGAAACAATCTAATTGGCAAGCAACTAGGATATCTCTAACACAGTCGCCATTAACTAAATTATCAAGTTAATGATAATTAACCTATCAATAGTAAGTTAATATCTTAGACTGTTCCCCTATTGTATTTATAAGTTAATGGTTTATAAAGCCAAAAATAAATACCATTGGCAAAGTTAGAATAATTAAGCTAATTATTAGCCTGTATCATTGATTCTTCACCTTTAGCATGTATTAGAATCACCTGGAGAGTGATTGCTTGACCCCACCTCCAGAATTTGATTTCAGAGATCTGGAGTGGCCAGAGATTTGCATTTCTAACAAGTTTCCAGGTGATGTTGATACTGCTGGTCTTAGGACTATACTTTGAGAAGCACTGCCCTGGATTATTTTTTGGTAACTGAGATGCTACCAAGATTTTCTTTAGTATTATATAAGGTAATCAGTGATTATTATTTGGGCTTTCTTAGAGGGAGAAACAGAGGAGACTTAGCAGCTTCTTTCAATTGTAAGGCATGTAATTGTTAAAAAATAAAAAGGTTGAGGGGAAACAATATTTTATGAATATCAACTTGATTTTCACTATGTTTATAGTCACTAATAGGCTAACTCACCTGCCACTGATAGCCTGCTTGTCAAGTTATGGTCAAAAATAAGTAGTTAATAAAAAAAAAAGAAAGAAGTAGCTAATAGATAGAAATATTGTATTTTCAAGAGAGGGTAATATCAGTAATCTCAGTAAGTACTTTAAAATCTTTAGCTAAAATCCTAATATTTTATAATAGAGTCAGTTTTTTTTGTTTTATTTTGTTCCGTTATTATGAAATTTTAGATTTTATTTAAGGATTCCAAAGAAACTCCCCATACACATTCATGCTTCATTTCATACAGTTTTATTAAGTTTATTTTGAGGAGATAGAAATTATGTACTCTTTGAATTCTTTATCATTTCGCTATATTATTTCGATTTATGATTTGTTAAATACTTACATACCTTTCTGATAACTAATGTTTTTTGTTTTTTTAAAGCCTGTGGATGTGGACAAAGATTCATCCCTAGTGACTCTCTGTTATGGACTCTGTGTTCTGGGACGGAGAGCTTTGGGGACTGCATCCCATCATATGTCCAGGTAAAGAAGGCATTTCTGTTCTGAGGAAGAGAGCATGGGAAGCTGTATAGCCTAAATCTAAAATGATTTTTCATGGACGCATGTATTCTATGCTAATTTATTGTAAAGTCTTTTTAGGTTTTATATTTCTATACATCATCTTCTTGAACATAGGTGAGCTGTCTTAACTGGTTAACAGAACTGGTTTTTAAAATTCACACGTGTGGGTAGCCACTGATAATGAGAATATAATGAATTTAAGACATTTTAAAATACAACCACCCCATGAATTTTGATTGGCCTCCTCCTGTTTACATCTATTTTTCTAATAAATTCATTTTCCATATTTCCTTGCAGTCTTTGTCCAGGGTATTTATACTTCTAATATAGTAATATATTAGATTCGGGGATTCTAAATCTAAACTGAATTTCCTAACATATACATCCAAATGAATCAGAATTAAGAAATACCACATATTTTAAATTTTTTTCTGTGATAACTACATGTTTTCCGTTAAGCTTTTCTTAGTTTATTTTAACTTATAGGCTCTTTGCCTGTTGTTTATTTTCATGGACTCACTATTACAGTGGTTTATAAATAAGGGTCCCAGGTCGGACAGGCCCTGTCTCTTGTGATTCTGGTTCAGGGTTCTGACATTAGTTCCTGGAATCTGTATTTTCAAAACACTCCCAGGTGATTCTGATGCACACGCAGATGTAAGAATCAGTGTCATGGAAGACCTTTGTCAAAACATGTGAACTTTTATCTCCAATCTTAACAGTAATTTAGAGTCATTCCTCTATGGATTGCATGCCCTATTTAAAGGAGATTTCCGTATTTCTTCAATTCGAGATGAATGGATCTTTGCTGACATGGAATTGCTAAGAAAAGTAGTAGTCCCTGGGATCCGTATGTCCATTAAACTTCATCAGGTAAGAAGATGAGATTTTTCTAATTCATTACTGGTGTTTACTGATCCTTCTTCACATGATTTCAATATTAGTCCATTCTCACGCTGCTGTAAGGAATACCCGAGACTGGGTAATTTATAAAGGAAAGAGGTTTAATTGACTCACAGTTCCACAGGGGTGGGGAGGCCTCAGGAAACTTACAGTCATGGCGGAAGGGGAGGCAAACACATCCTTCTTCATATGGTGGCAACAAGGAGAAGTGCCAAGCAAAAGGGGGAGAACCCCTTATAAAGCCATCAGATCTCATGAGAACTCACTCGCTATCATGAGAACAGCAGCATGGGGGTAACTGCTCTCATGATTCAATTACCTCCCACCAGTTCCCTTCCAGGACACGTGGGGATTATGGGAACTATAATTCAAGATGAGATTTGGGTGAGGACACAACCACACCATATGAGCTTCCAAGTTATGTTTCTTAGGAACCTTTTGAGAAATATTCTGATCTGAATAAAAGAAAAATGTGACTTCATGACAAGATATATTAAATCTTTAAAACCTGAACCTATGTTTCTAATAGTAAATTTGAATATTAACATTAGAGAGTGACTGATACAGGCATGAAATGTGAAGAAAAAGAAAAATTATTTACAAGCTGTAAGTAAAGGTCCATGGCCCCCATAATACTTATTTTGACTTCATATTATTGCAATTCCTGCCTATTCCCTGTATGAATATTAGCCAACTCTAAATATAGTGTGGTAACACTTCAGGAATGTTACAAGTGCTGCTGTTACTGAATGATGAATTTCATTCCATGTGTTACATAGAATAATAGGTGGTTAGGACAGACTTAGGCTTAGCTAAATATCTTAGTAGGGTAATAACATTAAAGTGAGGCCCCACAATGCATTTCTAAAGCCCTAGATGATTGCAAGAATATATTGTGAAATTAAGTACTGGCACTTGTTCCTCCATTCCACTGGACAGTAGTTATCAGATCTGATGATAGAGACCCTGTGATAAGACTCATTAAAGTGTATCTGCAGTGCTCAAATCTAATTGAATCTTTTGCCCCCAAATAAAAGGTGACTTACTCTTCAAGTCATTATAGTATAATCTAAAGTGTGGGAATTAAGTTAAAAACCTCACATTCTTTAGGAACATGACTAATAAAGGACACATTATTTGAAAATCTCTGTGAAAAATGGAATACTATTTGAGGATGTTGCCCTGGGGAAATATTAATTTGGGATCAAATAGAATTGTCCATCTTCAGACTAGTTTTAGAGTTTTGAGACAAAATTCAGTGCATTTCAAAAAAAGGTAATTCTTCAGATTAAAATGTTTTTAAAACTTAGACATTTCTGGAAAGGTACCAACTATGTATCTGCTTTATAAGAAATATTCTCTTTCATATAGCATAATTTTCTAATAGCTTCTGACAAACTTCTTCAATTAATTCTAAATGTTATCACAGATATTTTATCTCAGCTTGTCCGAGATGAAACTGAGCACAGAATTAAAGCCTCTGATGCCTTGGGTGCCTGCCCCTAGTCTCTCCTTACAGGACTCTCTTGCCTGTTGCTGCCAGGTCTCTTTCCTTAAATATTCCTTTGGCTGTGGCATTATTGCCGATATCAGTGATTCTTTACTTTATATTCTGGCCCAACACACTTGGATATAGCACACTCCCATCATTAGCCTGGACTGACAACATTTATAAACAGGGAGGTGAGAATGTAGAATTGGAACCAAGAAGCCATGGAGGGCTGAGGGGAGGAGAGGAAGTGGAGAATGTAATGCAACCTGGAGAAGTTCCTTAATTCTGATATACCTTCTAGGAGGGTGGAGATTGACCTATAAAGTCACAAACAACAGCCATATATTGATCGTCACTTTGAGCAAGACATTAGGTTGTCTATGAGGATCTCTCAGGCAGGAAAATCTAGGTGTGTAAATCAGTACTCACCATTGCCAAAGTTCATGTGCTCATGAAAATCCATAAAAGTGGACAATAGGCTTATATACTAAAAGAAAGGATATATGCATCTACCTTACAACCCAACAATTCTACTTCTAGATGTTTATACAACAGAATTAAAGTACAATTGATTCTTGAACAACACAGGTTTGAACTGCATAGCTACATTTATACACAGATTTTCTCAGTAAATGTATTGGAAACTTTTTTGGAAATTTGCAACAATTTGAAAAAGATGAACTAGAAAGCCTAGAAATACCAATAAAATAAGACAAACTTAGGTATGTCATGAATGCATAAAATATACATAGATACTAGTTTATTTTATTATTTGCTACCATAAAACACACAGAAATCTATTATAAAAAGTTAAAATTTATCAAAACTTACAAAAACACAGACTATACATGGCAACATCTGCAGTTGAAAGAAATGTAAACAAACAAAGATGCAGTATTAAATCATAACTACATAAAGTCAACTGTGGTACATATTAATATTATATACTACAGTAATTTCGTAGTCACCTTCTGTTGCTATTGCAGTGAGCTCAAATGTTGGGAGTATGCTTAAAACGCCGTGTGGCACTAATCATCTCTGTGTGAGCAGTTCGCCTTTCCAGTAAATTGTGTATTTCAATAAAAAGTGATCTGTTGCAGTTCTTGTGTATTTCTCATTGTGTTTAGTGCAGTACCATAAACCTTAAATAACACCATGGGACCCATACAAAGTGCCACTAGTGATGCTGAAAGGGCCCCACGAAACAGAGAAAAGTCATGACATTAAAAGGAAAGGTTGAGTTGCTTGATATGTGCCGTAGATTGAGGTTTGCAACTGTGGTTGCCCACCATTCCGAGATAAGTGAATCCATCTTAAGGACAAGTGTGGAAAAAAAGAAAATTCGTGAAGCTTCCACTGTTACTACACCAGCAGGTGGAAAACCTTGCGCATTTTACAAAATACCTTTTCATCTCATGTTGAAAATAATAGCTTTTATGTTGGATGCAGGATTGCTGTAAGAAAGGCATACCTATGAACACTAATGTTATTCAAGAAAAAGCGACATCATTATATGGCAGCTTAAAGCATAAGGAAGGTGAAGGACCTAAAGCTGGAGAATTTAATGCCAGCAAAGGATGGCTTGATAATTTTAGAAAGAGCTTTGGCTTTAAAAATGTCAAGATAACAGGAGAAGCAGCTTCTGCCAACCAAAAGGCAGCAGACAAGTTCCCAGATGCCATTAAGAAAATCATTGAGGAAAAAGGTTATCTGCCTGAACAGATCTTTAATGCAGGTGAAAGTGCTCTATTCTGCAGCGGGGGTTGGGGGTGGGGAAGCCACAAAGGACATTTTTTTAGTAAGGAAGAGCACCAAGCACCAAAATTTAAGGCAGGGATGGGTAAGCTAAGTTTACTGTTTTGTGCAAATGCAGAGAGGGGTTTATGATCGGGACTGTCTTTACCTATAAAGCCGCTGACCCCTAAGCCTTGAGGGGAAAAGATAAACACCAACTGCTATTTTGATTGTACAACAAGAAGGCCTAGACAAAGAGAACTCTTCCTGGTTTGGTTCCACCAATGCTTTGTCCCTGAAGTCAGGAAGTACCTTGCCAGTAAAGGACCTTCTTTTAAAGTTCTTTTGATATTGGACAATGCCTGTGGCCACCCAGAACCTCATGAGTTCAACACTGAAGGCATGGAGGTGGTCTGCTTGCCTCCAGATAACATCTCTAATTCAGCCTCCAGATCAGGGTACGATAAAGACCTTTAAGACTCATTATACATGGTACTCAATGGAAAGGATTGTCAGTGCTATGGAAGAGAACCCTGATAGAACATCATGAAAGTCTAGAAAGATTACACCATTGAAGATGCCCTTGTTGTTACAGAAAAAGCCATGAAAGCCATCAAATACAAAATAATAAATTTCTGCTGGAGAAAACTCCAGATGTTGCACATGACTTCACAGGATTTATGACAGAGCTAATCAAGGAAATCATGAGATTGTGGATATGGCAAAAAAAAAAAAAGGGTGATGAAGGATTACAAGGTGTGGCTCTTGGACAAATTCAAGAGGTATTAAGCACCACACTAGAAGTATTAACAGAAGATAACTTGATGGAGATGAGTGCTTCCAAACCAGCGCCACATGATGAGGAAGACAAGGAAGCAGTGCCAGAAAACAAGTTGACTTTACACAGTCTGGCAGAGTGATTGGGATTATTCAAGACTGATTTTGACTTCTTTTACAGTATGGACCCTTCTGTGATATGGGCACTAAAACTAAAGCATAAGGTAGAAGAAGAATTGGTACTATATGGAAACATTCTTAAAGAAATGAAAAAGGAAAAATGTCAGAAAAGTACAATGTTTTTTGGTAAAGTTAAACCAAGTGTGCCTGCTTCTCTTCCCTCTCCTTCCACCTCCTCCACCTCTGAGACTGCAAGACCAACCCCTCCTCTTCCTCCTTCTCAGCCTGTTCCAAATGTGAGATGACAAAGATGAAGACCTTTATGATGATCCACTTCTACTTAATGAACAGTAAATATATTTTCTCTTCCTTATGATTTTCTTAATATTTTCTTTTCTCTAGCTTACATTATTATAAGAATACAGTATATAATATGTATAAAATACAAAATATGTGTTAATTGACTATGTTATTAGTAAGGCTTCTAGTCAACAGTAAGGTATTTGTATTTAACATTTTTGGGGGAGTCAAAGGTTATTCATGGATTTTAGAGTGCATAGGGATAGGCACCCCAACCCCTGCATTATTCCAGGGTCAACTCTATATGTCTACATAAAGACTTAAACACAAATGTTTACAGTGTTTTTATTGATAATAACCTCCAACTGGAAACTACTCAAATGTCCGTTAGCAGACAGGCATACAAATTATGGTATATCCACACAACAGAATATTACTCAGCAATAAAAAGAAACTGATAACAAACAGTAGATCAGTGGTTACTTGAAGTTTAGAGAGTAAATGCCAGAGGCAGGAAGGAACTTTTTGAGGTGATGGAAATGCTCTATATCTAGATTGCAGTAGTGGTTACCTGGGTATGCACATTTGTCAAGATGCATCTAACTGTACACTTAAAATGGGTGCATTTTGTTGTAAATCATATTTCAAACTTGACTTTTAAGAAGATTCTGTTTCCAGAGAGCTGAAAATATAAAATTTCTATTAACCTTTGCCTTTCAGACATAGTCTTTGATGATGTACTTTTAGTACTTCATAGGTGTTTTTGAACTTTTTTCTTTATAGTTCTTTCCCCACCCCCTCCAACCTTATGGATTACATGTGCTTACTTTTTGGTAATTAAAACTGTTACGTTGGACGTGATGCCTCACGCCTGTAATCCCAGCACCGTTGGGAGGCCAAGGTGGGAGGATCTCTAGAGTCCAGGAGTTTGAGACCTGCCTGGTCAACATAGTAGGACTGCATCTCTGCGAAAAAGAAACAGAAATATTAGCCAGGCAAGGTATCGCATGCCTTTAGTCCCAGCTACTTGGGAAGCTGAGACGGGGGATCATTTGAGTCCAAGAGTTTGAGGTTACAGTGAGCTATGATTGCATCACTGCACTCCAGCCTGAGCGACAGACCAAGACCTTGTCTCTAAAAAAAACCCCAATAAGAAACTGTTATGATCTGTGCAGTATTTACTATTGCATATTGTCCTACATGTACACAGTACTTTCATATGCATTAGATCACCACGACCCAGAAAGTTATTTTAATCCCAATTTTGTAGAAGATTAACCAAAACTCAGATGAAGCAAATTGCTTTTTTCATCTGTTCTCTTGTCCTCTATTTAATTGCTTTTGTAAAATATCTTTCCTCCTTATTTATTTTCCTTTATTAGTACTCTTTGAGGATTACATAGTTATTAGAACTAAAATAAACCAATCAAAATCCAAATGAGTTTACATATGATATGTGCTGAAAATTTTACAGTCTGTGATATCCTTGAGGAAGGAATAATTTCATATTAATTTTTATGTTCTCCTTGTTTGGTACAGTGGACTGTAAATGTTTGTTTAATGAATGAGTTTCATTGTTCTAAAAAAATAGTGTATCCTGTGCATCTGCTTGTAGCATCTCAAGTATATTTCTAAAATTCTTTTGAAAACTTTTACCATTAAAACTGATAACATCTCTTGAATATTCTTAAAAATTAAACATTGCTCAATAATAAACATCTTTCCATCACTCCACATTATTGTATAGTATCCCCAAAAACCAATCGTTGCCAGTAATTTGATATATCTTTTGTGATTTCTTCTAAGCACATACATTTTCATCTATGTGTGTGATATGCTCCTTTTTAAAAATGTAATTTTGCTATATGAATTAATTGTAACATGCTATTTTTTTTCATTTAATATGACATGGACATCTTTCCAAATCACCACATACAGAGGCACCTCACAGTTTTCAATGTATGTAGAACTTTACATATTTATTCAACCATTTTAAAGCCAGTGAAAAGAGATATTTAAACAAGATGAAACATTTTCCACTTTGGGCATGCCTGATAATTTCCAGCTTTTTGTTCATTTTCTTAAGAATATGATTATTGGCCAGGCGTAGTAGCTTGTGCCTGTAATCCCAGCACTTTGGGAGGCCGAGGCAGGAGGATCGCTTGAGCTCAGGTGTTTGAGGTCACCCTGGGCAACATAGCAAGACCCTGTCTCTACAAAAAATTTTTTAAAACATTAGATGGGCCGGGTGCAGTGGCTCACGCCTATAATCCCAACACTTTGGGAGGCTGAGATGGGCGGATCACGAGGTCAGGAGATCGAGACCATCCTGGCCAACAAGGTGAAACCTGATCTCTACTAAAAATACAATAATTAGCTGGACGTGGCAGTGTGTGCCTGTAATCCCAGCTACTTGGGAGGCTGAGGCAGGAGAATCACTTGAACTTGGGAGGCAGAGGTTGCAGTGAGCTGAGATTGTGCCACTGAACTCCAGCCTGGAGACAGAGCTAGACTCTGTCTCAAAAGAAAAAAAAAATGAGCTGGGCATGGGGGCGTGTGCCTGTACTTAGGAGGCTAAGGTGAGAGGATTGCTTGAGCAAAGGAGGTCAAGGTTGCAGTGAGCTATAATCACACCACTGCACTCCAGCTTGGGTGACAAAGTGAGATCCTGTCTCAAAAATTAAAAGGTAGAAAAATAAATTACTATGCCTGTATCTGGACTTTTATTTTTCATTCAAGTAATTGTAAAAATACTACTCTACAAAGATGGCATTCCTTTCCTAATAGAACTATTTTCTAAAAGATAGCACATCATATGGCATCTGGCTCTCTGCTTGTATAGGAAAATGTGAACGCAGTATTTAAAAGAAAAATTAGGAGAGTTGGTGTATGATATACAGAAGTTAAGAACTGCTTATCAGTATATTATGAATGCTATCTTAGATCAAGTGGTCTAGAAACAGGTTAGAGTCCAAGATTCTTGTGAATTAATCAATTGAGGGTTGCACTCAAGAAATGTTGTAAAGAAGTGTTAGAAGGCAGATGGAAAAAGGGAAGTAGCTCAGTAAAATGTGTTTTAGCTGAATTCTAGCCTTAGCTGGGTTCTAGAAGAAGCTGTGGAGTTAGCAGTATCTCCAAAAGTTATGCTGTATACTTCCTTACTTCTCACCCCATACAGAGAAGGATGTACCTCCCTCCTCCTCCCCACCCCGCACCGGCATCTCCTACCCAGGCAGCTCCATTAGCTAAAGGCAATTCCTAGAAGAGAGGAGCCTTCTAAGAATTATCCTAATTTGCTTAGGATAATGGCCTCTATCCACAGCCATATTGCTGCAAAAGGAAGTGACTTGATTCTTTTTTATGGCTGCGTAGTATTCCATGGTGTATACGTACCTCATTTCCTTTATCCAATTTACCATTGATGGGCACCTAGATTGATTCTGCATCTTTGCTATTGTTGATAGTGTTGCAATGAACGTAAGAATGTATGTGTATTTTTGGTAGAACAATTTATTTTCTTTTGGATTTATACCTAGTAATGGGATTGGTAGGTCAAATGGTAGTTCTGTTTCTTTGAGAAATCTCCAACTGCTTTCCACAGTGACTGAACTAACTTGCATTTCAACAGTGTATAAGCATTCCCTTTTCTCCTCAGCTTTGCCAGCATCTCTTGTTTTTTGACTTTTTAATAATAGTAATTCTGACTGGTGTGAGATGGTGGTTCTGATTTGGATTTCTTTGATGATTCGTGTTGTTGAGCATTTTTTCACACTTGTTTGCTCCTTGTATGTCTTATTTTGAGGAGCATCTGTTCTTATCTTTTGCCCACTTTTTAATGGGGTTGTTTTTTGCTTATTGAATTAAGTTATAGATTCTGGGTACTAGACCTTTGTTGGATGCATAGTTTGTGAATAGTTTCTCCCATCCTGTAGGTTGTCAGTTTACTCTGTTCACAACTTCTTTTCCTGTGTAGAAGCTCTTCAGTTTAATTAGGTCTCACTTGTCAGTTTTTGGTTTTGTTGCAATTGCTTTTAGGACTTAGTCATAAATTATTTCCCAAGGCTGATGTCCAACATGGTGTTTCCTAGATTTTCTTCTAGGATTCTTATATTTTAAGGTCTTACATTTAAATCTTTAATCCATTCCATCTTGAGTTAATATTTGTATATGGTGAAAGATAGGAGTCTGGTTTCATTCTTCTGCATATGGCTAGCCAGCTACCCTAGCACCATTTATTGAATAGGGAGTCCTTTCTCCATTGTGTATTTTTTGACAACTTTGTTGAAGCTCAGATGGCTGTAGGTGTACAGCTTTATTTCTGGGTTCTTCATTCTGTTCCATTGGTCTGTATGTCTGTCTTTTACCAGTACCGTGCTATTTTGGTCACTGTAGCCTTATAATTTGAAGTCAGGTAATGTGATTCCTCTGGCTTTGTTCTTTTTACTTATAATTGTTTTGGCTGTTCAGGCTCTTTTTTTGCTTCTATAAAATTTTAGGAGTTTTTTCTAATTCTGTGAAAAAATACATTGGTAGCTTGATAGGAATGGCATCGAAGCTGTAGATTGCCTTGGGCAGTATGGCTGTTTTAACAGTATTGATTCATCCAGTCCATAAGCATGGAATGTTTTTCCATTTGTGTCATGTCTGATTTCCTTCAGCAGTGTTTTGTAGTTCTCTTTGTAGAGATCTTTGGCCTCCTTGGTTAGATGTATTCGTGTGTGTGTGTGTGTGTGTGTGTGTGTGTGTGTGTGTGTGTGTGAGAGAGAGAGAGAGAACATTGTAGATGGGATTGCATTATTGATTTGGTTTTCGGCTTGAATATTATTGGTTAATAGAAATGCTACTGATTTTAGTATGCTGATTTTGTATGCTGAAACTTGAAGTCATTTATCAGTTCCAGGAGCTTTTTGGCAGAGTCTTCTGGGTTCCCTAGGTATAGAATCATATCAGCAGCAAAGAGAGATACTTTGACTTCTTTTCCGATTTGGATGCCTTTTTTTCCCCGCTGCCTGATTGCTGTGGCTAGGATTTCTGGTACTGTGTTGAATAGGAGTGGTGAGAGTGGACATCCTTGTTTTGTTCTGGTTCTCAAGGGGGATGCTTCCAGCTTTTCCCCATTCAGTATGAGGGCTGTGGGTTTGTCATAGATGCTGCATCCTGGAGATTTTGGCATGTTGTATCTCTGTTTTCATTTATTTCAAATAATTTTTTTATTTCTGCTTTAACTTCATTTCTTTACGCAAAAGTCATTCACAAGAAAGTTGTTTAATTCCCATGTAATTGTGTGGTTTTCAGAGATCTTCTTGGTATTGATTTCCATTTTTATTCCACTGTGGTCCAAGAGTATGGTTACTATTATTTTGATTTTTTTTTTTTTTTTTGAGACGGAGTCTCACTTTGTTGCCCAGGCTGGAGTGCAGTGGCGTGATCTCGGCTCACTGCAAGCTTGGCCTCCTGGTTTCCTGCCATTCTCCTGCCTCAGCCTCCCGATTAGCTGGGACTGCAGGCGCCCGCCACCACGTCTGGCTAATTTTTTGTATTTTTAGTAGAGACGGGGTTTCACCGTGTTAGCCAGGATGGTCTCGATCTCCTGACCTCGTGATCCACCTGCCTTGGCTTCCCAAAGTCCTGGGATTACAGGCGTGAGCCACCACGCCCGGCCTATTTTGATTTTTTAATTTATTGAAACTTGCTTTATGGCCAGGCATGTGGTCGATCATAGGGTATGTTCTGTGTGCAGATAAAAATAATGTATAGTCTGTGGTTGATGGGTGGAGTATTCTGTAGGTGTCTATTAGATCCAATTGGCCAAGTGTCAAACTTAAGTCCAGAGTTTCTTTGTTAGTTTTTTGCCTCAGTGATCTAACACTGTCAGTGGGGTATTGAAGTCCCGTACTATTACTATGTGGCTAAGTCTTTTTGTAGGCCAGTAAAACCTTGTTTTATGAATCTGGGTGCTCCAATGTTGGGTGCATATATATGTAGGATAGTTATGTCTTCTTGTTAAATTGAACTTTCTATCATTAGGTAATGACCTTTTGTTTCCATTTTTACTGTTGTTAAAGTCTATTTTATCTGATATAGGAATAGTGACCCCTGCTCTTTTTGTTTGTTTGCATGATAAATCTTTCTCCAGCCCTTTACTTTGCACCTATGAGTGTCATTGCATGTGAGATGGGTCTCTTGAAGAGACCAGACAAATGGATCTTTTTTTTTTAATCTACCTTGCAACTCTGTGTCTTTTAAGTGGGGTGTTTAGACCATTTACATTCAAGGTTAATATTGATATGTGAGGTTTTGGTCCTATTAGGAAGTTGTTGGTCCTATCATGAAGGTCCTATCATGTATCATGAATGGTTGCTTCGTAGTTCTACTGTATGGTTGCTTTATAGGGTCTGTGGGCTGTGTTCTTAAGTGTGTTTTTGTGGTAGCAGGTATTATTTTTTTGTTTCCATGTTTAGAACTCCCTTAAGGATCTCTTATAAGGCTGGTTAAGTGGTAACAAACTTCCTTAGCACTTGCTTGTCTGGAAAAGATTTTATTTCTCTTTCACTTATGAAGCTTAGTTTGGCAGGATATGAAATTCTTGGTTGGAATTTCTTTAAGAATGCTGAAAACAGGCCCCAATCCCTTCTGGCTTATAAAGTTTCTTCTGAGAAGTTTACTATTAACCTGATGGGGTTCCCTTTTTATGTGATCTGACCTTTTTCTCTAGCTGCCTTTAAGAATTTTTCTTTAGTGTTGACCTTGGACACCCTGGTGACTGTATGCCTGGTGATGTTCATTTTGTATAGTATCTCACAGCTGTTCTCAGATTTCTTGTATCTGGATGTCCACCTTTCTAGCAAGATTAGGGAAATGCTCTTGAGTTATTCCCTCAAATATGTTTTTCAGGTTGTTTACTTTTCCACCTCCTCTCTCAGGAATGTCATTAATTGGTAAGTTTGGTTGCTTTACATAATCCCGTATTCCTCAAAGACTCTCTTCATTTCTTTTATTCTTTTTTCTTTATTTTGTCTGACTGAGTTATTCCAGAATACCAGTCTTCGAGGTCCAAAATCTTCTGCCTGGCATTTACTAACTTCCTACACTTAGGAAGCAATTAAGCCTCTTTAAGCTTCAGTTTTTAAACATGGAAAATGCAGGTATTATCAACTCAACCTACTTGACAAGATTGTTGTAAAATTCCAGTGAAATAATGTAGAACATTTTACATTATGAAGCATTATTTATGTATACAGTATTATCTCACATATCTCAACCCCCCAGCTAACAGGCTCTATCCTTAAGGATATTCCTTCTTACTCTCCCTCTTCTCCTTTCACATAGCACAAATTCTGGTCAGTTGACTTGAGTGCAAATGGATTACTTTACTGGGATACAGAAATTTGTCAGCCTCCCAACTATAAATATGAAAGCAGCCTATCATATTTACATTTCTTTAATATACCATTTCAAAACTGCAGATTTGTGTTACAGTTATTTCAGTATATGTCCTGTCCCTGTTAATGTGTAGGTTTGTAATAGGGAGATACATTTCATATCTTCTTTGTTTTATCCATGCTGCCTGCCAGACAGTCTTGTACATGGTAGATACTGAATAACTATCAAATGAATAAGTAGTTATTAAGACCAAGATACTTTTCAGAGAAAACTTTACCAACTTCTCTAGGACTAGGACCCCAAATCTGTGCTCAGAGCTGCTAGCTTTGAGCTGTATCTTAACTAGGTGAGAGGCAGGATAAAGTGATATATTAGAACCCATTTTAGAGATACGACTTTATGTGAAAAGTATCTAGTTAAGAAGAAACACAATATAGAGACCTTTTATGTAGTTTTAGCCTTCCTTACCTAATAGTGACGTAATCCTTCAACAGAAAAAAAAACATGAATAAAGATATGAAAAACCAACTTGAAAGAGAAAAACAAAACACATAAAAACCAGAAATGATGTTTATTCATCTAGAACTTAGAGGAGAGGGTTGGATTGAGGAATTTACAAAAATAGTATAGCAGTAATGAGCTACTTCCTAACCCAGTTATGACTGAGAATCTATAATTTATCTCTAATAATATTAACATGTGTTGAAATATTCATAATAAACCAGTTTTTAAGAACTTTCACTTAGTAACTGTAGAAGTTATCAGTTCTTTTATTTTCCTTTAAAAATTTATATATTATTTTTGTATTTAGGATCATTTTACTTCTCCAGATGAATATGATGACCCTACTGTGCTCTATGAAGCCATAGTATCTCATGAGAAGAACCTCGTAATAGCCCATGAAGGGGACCCTGCATGGCGGAGTGCAGTACTTGCCAACTCTCCCTCCTTGCTTGCTCTGCGGCATGTCATGGATGATGGCACCAATGAATATAAAATCATCATGCTCAACAGACGCTACCTGAGCTTCAGGGTCATTAAAGTAAGTGTTTGAGGTATTTATTTGGTCCAAAACATAGAAGTTGAATAACTTGATCTAAAATTTTTTTTTTTTGAGACAGAGTCTCACTTTGGGCCCAGGCTGGAATACAGTGGCATGATCATGGGCTTACTGCAGGCTCTCGACCTCCCTTTGCTCCACCTCAGCCTATCGAGAAGCTGGGACTACAGACATGCACCACCATGTCCGGCTAATTTTTGTGTTTTTTGTAGAGACAGGGTTTTGCAATGTTGCCCAGGCTGGTCTCACACTCCTGGCCTCAAGTGATCCACCTGACTCAGCCTCCCAAAGCTGTACAATTACAGGTGTGAGCCACCACGCCCAGCCTTGATGTAAACTTTTAAAAAGTAATTGAAAGTTTTTTCACAGAAAAAAAATGTGATGACCATATTACATTTGTCTTTCTTGTTTATGAGCACTTAATTTTACTTATTTTTTTTTAGTACTTTATTCTGTCCTCTGAAAGTTTCTCATGTGCCATAAAGCCTTAAAATTTTTGGTTATTTCAGTTTTGACAGTCTTTTATCCATTAAATGGCAGGTCTTATATATTTTATATATGCAATTTGGGCAGCATCTCTTTTTAAAAAGTCAGCACCATATTGCTAATATAATATGATTCTTAGGTTGCAAAATGATAGCATACCATGTACTTAATAAAGATCAGAAGTTAAATAGTTCATTCTAACTTTTGCTTGTTTGTTTTTTTAAACATCTCAGTGCTTTAAGAGGCTTAATTTCTGAAATTTTATTCTGATAGTTTATAGTTATTTTTTAAATTCACATTAATCGACCCACAAATGTCATAAACATTCTTTCAACCGTAAATATTTATCTCTCATTTCTATAAAAGATGTCTATAGTCTTATTTATCAGTGCTTTGCCAAGTTAAAAAACTAAATTGACTTTATTTTACTTGATACTTTAAATACAGAGCATGAAGAAAGAGCTGTGTAGATACTTATTATTTAGCAACCTGCTAATGACAAAGGGAAATTGGCTACCTCCTATTTAAATGTGACCTACTTATATTTGTTCCCCGCTTTTCACAACTGGTTATCATAATATCTTTTGTATTCCTCCCATTTCTGCTCTTCTGTTTCTGTGAATTTTATTCTTGGCCCCTTAACCTAATTCCCTTGTGTTCTGGTTTTCAGGTGAATAAGGAATGTGTCCGAGGTCTTTGGGCAGGGCAACAGCAGGAGCTTGTTTTTCTACGTAACCGTAACCCAGAGAGAGGTAGCATCCAAAATGCAAAGCAAGCCCTGAGAAACATGATAAACTCATCTTGTGATCAACCTATTGGCTACCCAATCTTTGTCTCACCCCTGACAACTTCTTACTCTGACAGCCACGAACAGCTTAAAGACATTCTTGGGGGTCCTATCAGCTTGGGAAATATCAGGAACTTCATAGTGTCAACCTGGCACAGGTGAGCCAAGGGATTGTATTATTCAGTGCTGGTGTATTCCTGACCCTCTTAATCTAGGCAGTGTGCATCACCTGGGAAGCTTGTAGAAAAAATTACAGGTGCCATGGTACAATATGAACCCATTATTTCTGAACTTCAAGAAGTAGAATCTGAGCATTCTTATCTTCAAAATCTTATTAGATAAATCTGATGTATAACTGGTTAAGAACCATTGCTCCATTACTTGGTAGAATCTTGGAAAATTCCCTTTATTTGTTTAATTTTTTTAACTTTCTGTTGTATATTACCACTATTAGAATATTTGAATATTTGTTCTGTACAAACGGGAAGTTAAGAGAAAAACATAACATGCAAGTTGATTACTTTGTCTAGTTTACCATTCTGTTCCAACACTAGGGGGAGCACTCTGTACACATTGAAACTTGATGGCAATGCAGAGATACTACTGCCTTTTTAACAATACATTCTCACTCAGATCTGAAATCTACAGTGTTTTCAAATATTCACATGATTTTTTTTCTCTGTCTTTTGTCTAGTAAATTATGTCTGGTGTAGGAACATCATAGTTTGGATGATGAAGAAATATTGCAGAACATAAGGGTTGTTCAGATTCTTAAATATAGCTTAAGAAAACCAAATCTGGCAATTAAAGCAGCAAACTCTCAAATGTTCAATCTCCGCCCAAACAGAAGGCACAATATAAGTCAGGGGAGTGTTCAAAGAAATTTTCTTTCCAAAAAAGATCTAATATGCTGGAATTACCGTAAAGAGATTCTTTCCCCCTAAGAAAAATGGCATAGAGTGCCCAATTGTCCTCGTTTGCTTAGTCACTCTCCATTTTTTAAAAATAGGAAAAATGATTTCAGCACCTCTCTTCAAGTACACTATATTAACAGTATAAATAAATTAGGTTTTCAGGGGTTACATACTTCAGAGTCACTGAACAGACATTGGCACTGGTAAGAATTCTGTTTCCAGGCCCGGCGCTGTGGCTCACACTGGGTAATCCCAGCACTTTGGGAAGCTGAGGTGGGCAGATCATAAGGTCAAGAGATTGAGACCATCCTGGCTAACATGATGAAACCCCATCTCTACTAAAAATACAAAATTAGCTGGACATGGTAGTGGGCGCCTGTAGTCCCAGCTACTCAGGAGGCTGAGGCAGGAAAATCGTTTGAACTTGGAGGTGGAGGTTGCAGTGAGCCGAGATTGTGCCACTGCACTCCAGCCTGGTGACAGCGAGACTCCGTCTCAAAAAAAAAAAAATTCCATTTCCAGCTGTGATCTTAATGGTACAACTGAGTTATATACAGTTCTTTATTATGGTGCAGGACAGATAATAGAGCATATGAAAGATTTGAGGCAGTGAATATGACGGGTATAGTTCTTAAGCCACTCTTTGAAAACGTAATGAGTTTTTTTGTTCCTAATATTGATTGCACCATAAAGACTTTAAAAGGTGAACATTAGTAGCATTTGCAGTTCAGAATAGCTGGAAAAAGAATAAAATACCCATTTTGAAGTGATCTTGGAATAATGCTTCCTACTCTGGTATTTGTTCCTAGGCTTAGGAAAGGTTGCGGAGCTGGATGTAACAGTGGTGGCAATATTGAAGATTCTGATACTGGAGGTGGGACTTCCTGCACTGGTAACAATGCAACAACTGCCAACAATCCCCACAGCAACGTGACCCAGGGAAGCATTGGAAATCCTGGGCAGGGATCAGGAACTGGACTCCACCCACCTGTCACATCTTATCCTCCAACACTAGGTAATGTGAAACAAAGTTATATGTCTAATGTTAGCTTCTTAGCCATAGAGGCTGGTTAGTATATGTGTATAAAGAGGATTACATGTGGTCCACTTGGAAATTCAGAAATAGAATTTTTTTTTTTTTTTGAGATGGAGTCTTGCTCTGGCTGGAGTGCAGTGTCACAGTCTCGGCTCACTGCAAGCTCCGCCTCCCGGGTTCATGCCATTCTTCTGCCTCAGCCTCCTGAGTAGCTGGGACTAAGGCCCCTGCCACCACGCCCGGCTATTTTTTTGCATTTTTAGTAGAGACAGGGTTTCACCATGTTAGCCAGGATGTTCTCCATCTCCTGACCTCATGATCTGCCCGTCTCGGCCTCCCAAAGTGCTGGGATTACAGGCGTGAGCCACCACACCCAGCCCAGAAATATAATTTTTTTTATTCCAAGTTGTACATTATTCCATTTGTTCATATTATTTTATATATATAAATATATATTTTATATATTTGTATATATACTTTTAAAACTTGATAATTCAACATAAACATTTTAATATATTAAGGATTCTTTGAAAATATAATTTTTATTTTTTTTATTATTTTTAATTTTTTGAGACAGAGTCTCACTCTGTTGCTCAGGCTGGAGTGCAGTGGTGCCATCTCGGCTCACTGCAAGCTCTGCCTCCTGGGTTCACACCATTCTCCTACCTCAGCCTCCCGAGTAGCTGGGACTACAGGTGCATGCCACTGCGCCCAACTAATTTTTTTTTTGTATTTTTCGTAGAGACGAGGTTTCAACCATGTTAGCCAGAATGGTCTCGATCTCCTGACCTTGTGATCCGCCCACCTTGGCCTCCCAAAGTGCTGAGATTACAGGCGTGAGCCACCACGCCCAGCTGAAAATATAATTTTTAAAGGCTAACAATATTTAACTATTATAATTAACTTCTCCCCTGTTGGACAATTACTTGGTTTTTCTTCTAACAATGTTGTAATAGTCTTTGTATATAAGTCTTTATAATCATTTATTATTTTCATAGGTTAGAGACTTTAAAAATGAAATCACTAGGCCAAAGCCTATGAGAATAAGACTCTTGATATATAATGCCAAAAATCTTTCCAGAAAGGTTTTTTTTTTTTTTTAAACCAGTTGGTACTCTCACCAGTCCTATCAACCTTCCCAGCTTTGAAGATTGTCAGTTCCTGCCTCTGCTCCTTGCTTGCTCCAGTGGGGGCAGGAGAAGGGGTGGTCTTTAATTTTATTCTTTTAATTTGCATTACTCTGATACCTAAGAATGGAAGTTTTTAATGAATTTATCAGCAGCTCCTCTTTCTAAAGTGCCTAGTTACATCTTTTGCCTATTTTTCTATTTGGTTATCTTTTTCTTACTGATTTGTGTTTTATATTCTGGATTTGAGCTCTTTCAGTTTTCTGTACCACAAATATCTTTTCCCATTCTGTCCCTTGTCTTTTCATTCTCTTACTGTGAAGAGTTACTTGCCTTCTTCTGATGAGAAGTCCTTAGTTTTAGTGAGAACAACTTACTATTCATTTATTTTATCATTAGTACTTTTTATGTCCTAATTAAGAAAATTTTCCCTGTCCCTAGGCCCTCAAAGTATGCTTTTATTAATTTCCCTTTGACATGAGATCTACAATCCACCTGGTGTGCAGAAGGAATCAGGTCTCAACTGTCTCCATATGGCTGGGCAGTTGATCCAGCCATATGAAGAAGTTGATCCTCTCCCCAACTGCCCCCCTGACTGCTTCACGTGAATCAAATAAAGTTCTAAGACATTTACTTAAATGTAAAGACATTTATTAAATTTAAATATATATATTTTCAATGGGATTCAAGTGAAGAGACCTGATAGATCAACATTTTGGATGTTCAGAAATACGTATCTGAGATCTGTTTTCTTTTGTGGTTTTTGTAATTTTTTTTTTATTTGCTGAAGTTTTTTAAAGTTCAAATTCTGTGGCATATGAAAGACATAATGAATAATTAAATATTTTTTATTTAGGTGAAAACCTAAAACTTTCAGTGTTCTTTAAATGTACTTTTTGTTCTTACCTTGATTAGCTCTTTTTATTTTTAGGTAAAAAGTACATGTAGCTATGTTTCAATGTAATTAATTTTACATTACTCTTATGAGTCAAGAAAAAGACAAGTCTGAAGAATCATATCAAGCCACTTGAAAAAGGATGCAGAAGAACCTGCTTTTCAGTGCCACTGATCATTCCGATTTAGTAGTGATCCCCAAATGTATATGAAAATTACAGCGTGGTATTCACTGTCTCTCTATAGACAGTGTAGCTTTTCCTTGGTAGAAGTTGAAAGGGCAGTAATACTATACTTTGAGAAATAGTAGTTATAGAGCTTGCCACATAGTAGGGCCTTAATAAATATTTCTTTTTAACTGGCAAAAATTATATATATTTATGGTATACAACATCATGTTTTGATATGTGAATATATTGTGAAATGATTAAATTAAGCTAGTTAACCTATCCATCACCTCATATACTTCTTTGTGATAAGAATGTTTTAGAGCTACTCAACAATTTTTAAGCATACAACACATTATTATTAACTCTAGTCCCCAGGCTGTACAGTAGACCTCCAGAGCTTGTTCCTCTTGACTCAGTGGAACTCTGTACCCTTTGACCAACACCTCCTCTTCCCCAGCCCCTGGCAACCACCATTCTACTCTCTGCTTCTGTGAGTTCGGGGTTTTCAGATTCCACAAGTGAGATCATGCAGTGTTTCTTAGTAAATCCTTCTGACTGTCTCATTTCCGTGAGATATTTCATTTCTGATATATTATGGAAGTATTCTTGTTATTTTAAAATGCTTCTGTGAAACATATTTTAGGATTTATCCCAACCTTAAGTCCTGATATTTGCTGTAAAATATTTAATTATTAATTGTCTTTCATATGCCACAGAATTTGAACTTTAAAAAACTTTAGCAAATAAAAAATATATTACAAGAACCACAAAAGAAAATAGATCTCAGATACGTATTTCTTTTTCTTAACTTTAAAAGTTTTAGGCATAAACGTTAAGTTCTGTCAGTTCACCAATTAATTGCTTAGGGGAAAAAGTCTTAGAAACTGCAAAACAGAAGTATTGTGTCTGAGTCATTCTACTTTGAGTGAGTGCTGCTGTTTCTCCTCCTAGGCACTAGCCACAGCTCTCACTCTGTGCAGTCGGGCCTGGTCAGACAGTCTCCTGCCCGGGCCTCAGTAGCCAGCCAGTCTTCCTACTGCTATAGCAGCCGGCATTCATCCCTCCGGATGTCCACCACTGGGTTTGTGCCTTGTCGGCGCTCTTCTACTAGTCAGATATCGCTTCGAAACTTGCCATCATCCATCCAATCCCGACTGTCGATGGTGAACCAAATGGAACCCTCAGGTCAGAGCGGCCTGGCCTGTGTGCAGCACGGCCTGCCTTCCTCCAGCAGCTCCAGCCAAAGCATCCCAGCCTGCAAACATCACACTCTCGTGGGCTTTCTTGCGACAGAGGGAGGTCAGAGCAGTGCCACTGATGCACAGCCAGGCAACACCTTAAGTCCTGCCAACAATTCACACTCCAGAAAGGCAGAAGTGATTTACAGAGTCCAAGTAAGTAAGCCCAGAGGTGGTCTTGTGCTGTTTTTGTTACTTATTTGTTTTTATTTCTTATTTGTTGAATGAAGGACTGTTGTGAATACACACCTTATCTTAGTCTCAGGACTAGAATATTTTTGAATGTTGGGGAAAAATTTCTTCAAACTTAAAAACTGAAAGCAAACAGTTTTTGTGATGGTGATATATGTTCCTTGTTCAGCCACTGTCTCATGGACATTGCAGTGAGGTCTACCAGAGGGCTGAAAAGAATTCAAGATGTAGCTCTTAAGATTTTTTTTTTATTCCATTATAGGAATTTAAAAAGTAATTCCTCTCTGTGAAAAGCATTTTGTTTGAGATTACATAATTTTTCATCATCAAGAAAAAAATGAATTGGAAATGTTTTTATTTACCATGTAGATTGTGGATCCCAGTCAAATTCTGGAAGGGATCAACCTGTCTAAAAGGAAAGAGCTACAGTGGCCTGATGAAGGAATCCGGTTAAAAGCTGGGAGAAATAGCTGGAAAGACTGGAGTCCGCAGGAGGGCATGGAAGGCCATGTAAGTTCTTTTACAAGCTGGCGGTCTGGGGCTCTGCCTTTTTTGAAGTCCGCCTCACTTGGATGCATGGTTTTAGCTGATTTATACTTAAACGTATAATTTTCAGACAAAATTGCTACTACTAATCCTAGGTAGGGGTAAGAGTTTGTGAGTATATTCCAGGTCTCCAGTGCTAACTTCTTGTTTTATTCTGAATCATTAGGTGATTCACCGATGGGTGCCTTGCAGCAGAGATCCAGGTACCAGATCCCACATCGACAAGGCAGTGCTTCTGGTCCAGATTGATGATAAATATGTGACTGTAATTGAAACTGGGGTACTAGAACTTGGGGCTGAAGTGTGAGCCAGTGTTTATTATAAAGACATTTCTTTTTCCCTCTCAATTCCAAGGCATTGGAAAAAGAGAGGAACAAGCAGAAGATGCCTGCAGGTATCACTTTGATCCTATGTGGGAGCGACTGAAAATAGAATGAGCTTGGTTAAGCACCTCTCCTTTGCCCTTCACCCTGACTCCTGTCACTGTCTCCATCCCCAAATAAAGCTGAAATATTTTTTTAAGTTAGCTGCCGAGAAAACATTTTGCATGAAGGATAAAGTTCTGTTAAAATACATCCTTAAAAAAAGTTTTTCCTATGCATTGCCTATGCTTTAAATCAACAAACTCTTCATTTCTAAACTATGATCTCATATTTTTCTAATTTCTTTGCCAAAAATAATTGCCATGTTTTGTCATAGAACATGAAATTCATTTACCTTGATTTTTAAGAACAGACCAGTGTAGAAATGTTCCTTTTGACTTATAGCAGTATAAAAGTTTAATGTACAGTGAAAGAGACTATGAACAGACATAGATTTATCTTATTCCTTGAGCGCTAAAAACTTTAATAAAAAAAACTGCACTAATTTTTTACAGCAATGCACTAAAGTCTGAGATTTCTCAGAACATTTATTTATATATAAAAATAAAATACCATTATTTAAATTGCCTTTGGGATTAGCCCCTTCCCTTTCCTTATAAACACAGGTAGCAGGAACTGTGCTGCTCATTTTTCTGTTAGTAGTGTGTACTTCATGCCAGGACATTGGGTATTTTCTTTAAAGTGAATATAGAATCTCAAGATATACGTAGCTTCATCATTGACATTTCCCAGAGCCAATAGTCAGCGGATCGGTCTTGTGAACACCACTGCCAGCTCCTGTGTCTACATCTCAGAGGAGCCCATGTGCTCTGCTTCTCTCCACCAGAGCAAGCTCTGCTGGGCGTGCTTCTGGGAAGAAAACAATTTTCTTTAAGAAGAAGATGAATGTCCAGGAATTTAAAGAAAGGATCGATTGCCTTTTATTTATGAGTTTCTAGCTCTTGAAGTTATTCACATGCAGTTCAGTTAGTCAAGTAAAATTTTTTTTCAAATAAAAGTATCCAAGTGGTGCAGTTATTATTATATCCCTCTTTAATAATTTTGCTTTTTATTTTTCCCCTCTTCTTTTTCTGTTACTTGAATTTTATTTCCTGTAATTTATAGTGTGTAGCTGTAAATTGAAATATTTATAACTGTGAAATTGACTTAATTCATATGTTGTCTCATAACTTTATTTTTTTTAAATGCATATTCAGGGAAATATATTACTCATATTTACAATTGGGCGATATAGGAACTTCAATTTAGATTTAATTTGCAACTCTTAGCATTTTTTAAATCCTTGATAAAATTTTCCCTTTTGGTGTGAAACTCCAAAGAAAATTGTACATCTCCTCTGAGCATTTAGGAGCAGCCATCTTTCTACCCCTTGTGAATAAATCATTGAAAGAAACAGGTAAAATTAATTTTAATGATACATTTTGTTTCACCCAGTATAGTCAAAGTATTACTATTTCATCATATGTCACTAGCCATATTTCAAGTACTCAATAGCTACATGTACCTAGTGGCTACTGTATTAGACAGTACAGATTTAAAGTATCTTTTGTTGAGGTGACAGAAGAGAGAAGCTGTTTTTCCTACCAATTCTGATGTAGATCTCACATTATAGCATAACATTACAGTAGAAGGAATGAAAACTAAGAAAGTAAATAGTGAACATACAGAACTTACTGCATTTCCACTTTAAAACCTATTTATTTTCCCTTTTTCTAATTTTAAACTTTTGTGGTCATTCAGAACCTAATGTGCCTTGTGTTGACATTTCCATAGACTTCACACTTTACAAAATTTACTGTTTAAAAATACTTGTCAAATGATTTACTGAACCTTTATACAAAAGTACCCTTTCTAAATTGACCATTTAAAAATGTATTTTTGTGATACCGTCATTATGTTCTGCATTTGCCTCATTTTGGCAGATCTACAGTATGCCATTAAAGTTTAGTGTTGTTTTTGGTTTTGGAGGGTTTTTTTCTGAAACTGAATTTATAATCTATTTCTCTGTATACGTATATTTTTAAAATCTTCTGAAAGGAACTATGTTCCCTGCTGCTTCTTCCCTTTCTGAAGTGAATATGATCTTTTCATGGTCATTGCCTAGATAAAAGTAGAGCCTTTTCAATCTTAGATGGAAGATAATTCATTTTCCCACACAGAAAAAAAATCTGACCTTTACATGATTTAATCTGAAGGGCTAGAATTTTTTAATTTCTAGCCCCTCCTCCAAAAAAATTTTAAACACATCACATACTCTGAAAAGTCAGATTTCAAATGCAAGACTAGACTTTATATGGAACATATATGTTGGGTTTTGATTTTGGGTAGCAATTGACATATATTTTTCTCAAAACAAGTTGAATTTTGTTAACATATATAATTCTTTAGTGAATTTATAAATTAGGAACCCTGAGAAGAAGCCCTGTTGTTTTTCTTAAGAGTCTAAAACTGACAATCTTTTAAAAATCATAATACTTTTCTAGTAATTGCATCAGGGAATTGGTGATAATTGAAGAAAGATCCATTTCTTAAGAATAATTTGATCTAAATTATTATATGGAAATAAACATACTTGTGTTAACTAAATTGATCATAAATTCTTGTTCCTGCCTCACCCCTCACCCCCCAGAGAATAGTGAGTGACTCGTTTAGATTCTCTGCTTTTTTTCAGTTATGTACAAGACTTCAGCATACATTAATGTCTTTAGTTTATAAATTTGCCAATGCTTTAATTTCCATAATTTGAAAGTTAAAAGATGTAACTAAAATACTAGCTTTTTTATTCATTTCCTTTTGGTGGAGTTGTATGATTGAAAACTTTGCTTTTTCTTGTTTAATTCTTCCGCCACCCCCTCTTTTGAGAGAAAGGTAATCGTGGAATGAGTTATAAATTATTGCCTTTTTTTCCTTTATTTCTTTCATTCAGTGGCAAAAAACATTTTATAACTCCTAAGTTTTTGGTTAATCTTCCAACTTATACCTTGGTGTGAACTCTCTTTTTACACCATTTTCAACACTGGATAAAACTTTAATGTTGACTTTTTGCTAAAGAACTTTAATTTTTCCAAGAATCTAGATTAACATAAGATGTTGATATTTAAGGAACTTGGAAGAGTAAGTGGTGAGGCTGTATGTATATTTTTTAAGAGATTACCTTTTAGGAAATTAGTGAACAAACTTAACCAGTGTTCTGCCTTCTTTGACTTTGTTACTGGAGGATGATAATCTATTTCTATTAGATTCGAAGTATTTTGGAAAATATTTCAAGTATATCTGAACTACTTATAATTCTTAAAACAGAAGTAGTCAGACAATATTTGTATCCTAAGTGAGATATGGAAAATTACTCTGTATACTAAATGTCAGGCAATGAAAATGTAAGTTTTTGTGTAGAAAACCCATTAAGAAGATGTGTTTTTCTTTCTGAATTAGTTTATTTTTCCATCACATACCAAAATATAAAAATCAGCCTCACATTTTTCAGCAAGTTTAGCTTATAGCCTTGATAAATTCCTCTGTGCTTCTGAGCAGCATCCTTCTGCCTCTGCTTAGCAGCTCTGCATTTGGTGGATTGCTGTTGTGAGTCATTCATCCAGCACTGGGCCTTTTAAGCTGAAGATTCACCCAGTGTCTAAAGTTGTCCTTTTCTTATAGCTAGCTTTCAAGCATCTTTCCTCCTAAATAAATATGTGACTTGAGAAAAAGGTAATAATGATTTTGTCAGAATTCTTTGAATTTATATTTACTAGCTACTTAACCATAAACTGCTGTCCAGATTGTTAATTTCATTTATATTTATTTTAATTAATTTGTCATGAATATGGACAAAGCCTTTTCTGGGGTGTGTGTGTGTGTGTATGTTTGTTTTTTAAGTCGTCATTATTCATTCGTATTCTTTTTCTGTGTAATGTAATCATATAAAGTTACTTTGGACAGAGACCCAGTTAATTTTCTCTTTTGATAGGATACATGGTTTAGATAAGGTATAAAGTGTCCCTTTTTATTCTAGAGGCTTTTCCTTTAATTCAGAGATTAGTGGAGATAATAACGTCAGTCAAGGCTAATGTGGTACATGGAACTTGCTAATGGAGGTTGGACATTCTGTTTCAGTCTTACATGGATATTGTTTCATTGGTGTTGAGGAAGAAAAAAATTAGATACTACCATGCATTGGGACAGCATAATTCTAATATTACATTGAATATGGCTTTTTAAAAATAAGTATTAAAAAGCCAATCGTTTTCTCCATTTATCTATCTTTTTTGTTTGTTTTTAATTTGGTTGATTGATATGCACCCAGGCCGTCTTATTTTTACTTGTTAAATGTCTGTCTAGGAAGAACTGTGATTGGAAAGGAATTAATTATTATACAAATAAATCTGGTAGGATATGAGTGGAGTAAGTTTGCTTGAAACAGAAGTATATTTTCTACTTTGAATCACCTCACCAGAGTCATCTGTCAAGAATTATGTATAACAATTTATCTTTATTGCCTACATACAACATACTTTTTCTGAATTAAGATAACTTCTATTTGTGAGTTGAACTTCATTATCTGCCATTTTGTGGAATCAACCTTACATTCTTTGGTGGAACTAGAGCTGATTGTCACCACAAGGTTATATGACAACTCTGTTCTAAGACTTATACCTATTATATAGGGTTATACCTTTTTTCTTATGCCTCAGCTCTGTACCTGACAATTTATGATTCAGTGGAGCCAAGCTAGAAGGAACAAAGGTCATCTAACACTGTGATGGGGATGAATTCCTGAGTTTTACCTGCACAATGAGGTGGTGCCCCGGAATTCACAACAGAGTAGTGATAGAGCATAAGATGGCTGCTCCAGATGACTCTTGGGTTTAGTGTACTTGTGATTGAACAAGATTTTTTATCTATGAAGCTTGATTCTACAACCAAAATAATAGAAATGGGGGGGGGGGGGGGAATCATGTCTGCTTATGCTTTTTAAAAGCTTATAGTTTAAGTAAAAGTAAAATGTAAAAACTGATTAAACCTATACAAGTCTGGCAATGAGCTCTGCATGAGGAAATGGAAGGAGGAATATTGAAAATGATTCTAGGAAAGTGAACGTAAGAAAGGAAAATGGGTTTTCCTTTTCTGATCATGGGCTCTGGAAAGTATTCATGGCCTTTACCAGCATTCAGTATAAACCAGAGATAAGGACATATGTACTTACGTGTGTCTGTGAGTGTGTGTGTGTCTGAGTGTTATTCTGAACAGCTTGTAAATATTGTAGTTGTTTAAAATGGAAAATAAAAGCTGAGTTCTTTTGGCAAATATATTGCATCAAAAATACAGTATTGACAGTGGATAAAACACTGAGGAAATAAATTTTTTTTCATTTTGCCTTCTGTCCATTTTTTGTCAAACTGAGAAAAATTAGAGTACACTATATTAAGTTCTGTATGGCATGTTCACACTTGGTTCTGAAATCATTTTAAACAAGCTTTGGCCTGTAAACATGTGCTTCAACTTGCAATAGATCAAAAGCGTACATCATACTTCATGTTAAAACATGGTCTGTTTCACACTTTTCTTAGTGCAAGGGTTGTAGTTTGTCTTCTGAATTTATCTCGATGTTACATATTAACAATATTAGATAGAACATGTAGGATAAAAATGTTCAATCACAGACTAAACTACAATACAGAAAATGGAAAGAACATTTGGATTATGGTCATCAAAGGCAGGTACAAACTTGTTTGGTATATTTGCAGTGTGTACTAACTCAGTGATTTCACATATAATACAGAAAATGCAAGCTAATTTACAATGAGAATAGACATATTCTTGATTAAATCACTTATAATCCTTTAATGCATCATTTTAACTATTTATTAGTAAGAACCAGAACCAGCAGGATACAGATTATATGCCTTTTGCATCAGAGTCCAAATAATTTGCTATCTATCTTTCCTCTGGGGTCACAGTGGCATAAAACATCTTCAAAGAAAGGCATTCCCTGGATTAGTTGCATTCCTCGTAGAGCCAGAGATTCAAAGGGCTGTTGACGTGAAATTTAGGTCCCATAAAACTTCTTCCTTATTCTTTTTTTTAATCCAGATCCTGCACAACCTTATTCTTAAAGTGCAGTTTATGTAAGATTTTTCCTCCTAAAGGATCCAAAAATGTTTCGCTGAACTGTAGCCAATGAATCTTGCCATGTTAGGTGTGTTTTCCCCTGGGGAAGGGTGGAAAGCAACACTTTGTGAAGTAAGGGCATGACAGAATGGTGGCTTCCTGGGTATATAAGCACTTACTTATATAAAATATTTATTCTTAGCCTGAGCAATAGAGACCCCTTTTCTACAGAAAAACTTGAAAATTAGTCGAGCACAGTGGTGTGTGCCTGTAGTCCCAGCTACTTGGGAGGCTGAGGTGGGAAGATTACTCCGCCAGGAGGCGAAGGTTGCGGTGAGCTGAGATTGCACCACTGCACTCCAGCCTGGGTGACAAAGTGAGATGCTGTCTCCAAAAAAAAAAAAAAAATTTTTCCTCCATAGGTGCTTATCCAAGGCAACTAAATATAATTAAGCTTCATCCTTGGGAAAATGTAATTTAATGCAAGAGGATCCCAAGGTTGCTTTGCAATTTCTCAAGCATTAACAGCAAATAACTGGAGATGAATCTACCTTGTCTGTGAAACTTTTAAAGATGCCATTCAGTTTCAGTGCCCAGTGAACCATGCCAAAAGGGGAAAGTCATCTTTCAGTCCGAGGTTCCTTTTTTCTTATGAGAGCACTATTTACGGATACAGAAGCAACCGGCCCATATAAAAATACTCCACATCTGTGGCCTCATCTTAAAGCAAATATTCTTGACCTGTCTTTATCATATAAAGTCAACATTCCAGGATAGCACTGAACTTAACCAGATACCCAGTAGTGCCTCTGTGTGTTTGTAATACAGTTGACCCTTGAACGACGCAGGGATTAGGGGTGCCAACGCCCGGCACAGTTGAAAATCTGCATATAACTTTTGATTACCCCGAGTCAACTCCTGTGAACAAAGGCTATCTTGAATTTGGAGGAAAGAGACTATTTCAGTGAGATACAGAAATAAATACAGAGACTTTATTTTTGTGAGATACAGAGATTTGGCTTGGCAGTTATTTTCTTTCTGCAGTTCAAAGGAATCATTCCACTGTCTTCTACCTTTCATGATTTTTTTAGTCTTGTTGCTCTTTTAAGGGCAATGTATTTTTAATCCTCCAATTATTTTTGTCTTTGATTTTTAAAGCTTTCCATATAGTGCCTGTGTGTAGTTTTCTTTGTATTTATCTTGCCAAAGTGTTTTTTATTATCACTGAATCTTGGCCATTATCTCTTCAAATATTCCTTCTGCCATATTATTTTTCTCTCCTCCTCTCACACCACAATTATACACATATTTTACCATGTCCTTTATCTCATGTTCTTTTCTGAATTTCCTATCTTTGGTCTCTCCATATTTAGTTTAAATATTTTATTCTACATATCTTCCAGTTGTTATTTTTCTTTCATCATCTGTATCTAATATTCTGCTAAACTGATCTATTGAGTTATTAATTTTAATTTGTATATTTTTCAGTTCCAGAATTTGCATTTGATCCTCTAATATATTTCCAGTTACCTGCTGATGTTCTTGCTCACTATTTAATTTATTAAACATATTAACTACAGTTAAAGCTCATATATGATAATTCCAACATCTGGGTCTCCTGTGATTCTGTTTCTGTTGTTTTTTTTTTCCCCCTCTTGTTTCTCTGTTTTGTCTTTTGTCTGTGTATTTCTGATTGAATACCAGACACTGGTATTCATTCAGAATACATTCTGATTGAATGCCAGACACAGTATATGAAAATCTGTACATAATTGAGGCTGTAGATGTTATAATCTTCCTCAAGATGATCTACTTTTACTTTTGGCAAACAAGGTAGGAAATAAGGGAATGAGCTGTTTGGAAGATGATCTTCAGCCTTCTGAGAACTGATCTGTTTCTCTTTTACTACTAGGGTGTAGCCCTTTAGATATACAAACTTAAAGACTGGGTTTCATCTTTGGCGGGCCCTGAATTGTAATTACAAACACCCCAGCCTTGTGAAAGTCCAAAATCACTGCTCAGTTTCTCAGCCACTGCTTTCAAATTGGCAGATGTGGCACTGAAACCATCCCCAAGAAAACTTTATAAAATTGATTAAGGGAGAAAATAAAATTCAACTAGGTTTGCAGTACAATGAGCAGTAATCATTAAGCCAGCTTGCCCTTTGGCCTACTTCCCTGTAGCTGGCCGCTGCTTACTACCCCAGGAAAATGTAGGCCTTGTCACAAGACTTTGTTCTATAGCTAAAATCTAAGAGTTTCTCCTTTAGGTTTTGCATATCAACGAAACTACTGACACCGGCTGGCTGAAGGGCCCCGTAAGAAGCTGACTCATGGAAGAATAGTTTCCATATCCTATGATTTCATCTCTTTACCAGGACCAATCAACAACCCCAATTTTCCAGCCTGTTGTCCTCCACCATCCCCTTAAAGACACGCCCAGAACCCCTCGAGGGAACAGATTCATGGCTTGAGAATTCCCCTCCATTTTCTCATCCAGCAGCCTTGGATTATTAAATTCCAATGTTGCTGCAGTTCCCGTTGTCAGTGTAGTATTGATCTGTTGTCGCCCAGCGGGCATACAAACCTGGCAGTCCTGTTACAACACCAAATACCAGTCTTCCCTCTCTGGGCTTCCTTCTCTCTGGGGTCTTGGCCCCTAAAGTCGTAGTTACTGCGGTAGCACTCCAACACCTTCAAGTATATTTTTATGCTTTGTACAGCTTTCCTCATTATTTTTGATTGAAGGGTTGATCTGAAACAAGCTAACCTCTTGTCAAGTCTTTTCTTAATGTCAGTTGGCATCCTCACCCATCTATTACAACATCTAATTACTTAAACTTTGACTTGCCTTTGCCTTGACTTTACTGGCTATATTCTTTCATTTCAGATTCAGCCATGCCTTAGTTGCTAGCTAGCCTACTGATTGTACCCAGCCACTATTGGAGGGTTAGAGTAGTGAGAGGAGTGCACAGGGTTTTGTGGTACAAACCAATCCACTTGAATAATGGGAGCTGAGGGAAAACAAGATCAGTGGCCTCCAAAGTGGGTGTGGGCATGGCAGCTATCTGAAATCTGTGTCCCACCCAGTCCAAAATGTATCATAGAGGTAGGCCAGACACCTCAGGTAAAGCAGAGATGTCTAGACCAGTGACACATACGCAGGATCTGACCAACATTTTGTACTCTTGCAGGCTCTGGTTAGATGACAGAGTCACATTACTCATGATTTCAAGATCAGTGTTTTTTGTTACAGCACAGTGAGTTTTTTCCTGTTCACTTTTCTAGGCAGTGATTTTCCTGGCCTAAGGTCTTTTTTTTTTTTTTTTGAGATGGAGTCTTGCTTTGTTGCCCAGGCTGAAGTGCAGTGCACAATCTCGGCTCACTGCAACCTCTGCCCCCCAGGCTCAAGCAATTCTCCTGCCTCAGCCTCCTGAGTAGCTGGGATTACAGGCATGTGCCACTACGCTTGGCAAATTTTTTTGTATTTTTAGTAGAGAGGGGTTTCACCATGTTAGCCAGGATGGTCTCGATCTCCTGACCTTGTGATCTGCCTGCCTTGGCCTCCCAAAGTGCTGGGATTACAGGCGTGAGCCACCGTGCCCGGCCTGGCCTAAGGTCTTATTAACTCTCCTCCATTTCAGACATGACCCCCTGTGGAGTTATAGCTGCAACAATAGCAGAGACAGGATTTAGCCAATGCAGGGTGCTTTTCCAGCCCTAGCTTAACCTTTCCATTCATTCTAAATGAAATAAAATCTCCACAGGTAACCCAAGGACTGAAATAGGCTTCAGGTAAGAAGTGAGTGAACTTTGTATTTTTCCTGAGCTTGGTGGAATGAGTGTTTGGAAAAGTTAAATGGTTTAACTACTGAAAACCACCCAGGCCACAGGCATATGATTCATTTTGTGTGACCTTAGACTTTTTCTTGGAAGATTTGGGGCCAGAAAATAGGAAGCCAAAAATAGCTTCATTGGGATCAAATATTTTTCTTTCTGGAAACCAGAAAACTATTCAGTTCTGTAAGTTCCAACAAGTTCCTCATTAACATCACTATTTCTCTACCTATATTAAGTCACCCCCTTGAAATTCGGGTCACAAAGGCAACCTACAGGTAATGTGGGTCATGGATGAGAGGGCCAATGAAAAAAATGATGGCAGCCGGACACAGTGGCTCACGTCTGTAATCCCAGCACTTTGGGAGGCCAAGGCGGGCAGATCACTAGATGTCGGGAGTTCGACACCAGCCTGACCAACATGGTGAAACCCAATCTCTACTAAAAATACAAAAATTAGCCAGGCATGGTGGCACAGGCCTGTAATCCCAGCTACTTCGAAGGCTGAGGCAGGAAAATCACTTGAACCTGGGAGGCAGAGGTTGCAGTGAGCTGAGATTGTGCCATTGCACACCAGCCTGGGTGACAAAAGCAAAACTCCATCTCAAAAAAGAAAAAAGAAAAAAATGATGGCTAGTGAAACATAGGGGAAGCATTGGCGTCTCCAGTAATTAGATGGCTTGGCATAACACCAAGGCTCACCTTTTCTCCTGGCTCACCTGCCATTGGCCACACAGCAAGCCTCATGGAAACTGGACATGAGGCCTTTAAAAATCCAAGATCCTCAGTCTCTTCTCTTCTAGATAACATGGAAAATAAAATCAAATTTGGGACGCATTTTTTCATAGGGAAATTTTTATTAACATTAACTCCTCAAAAGTACAAGGTGTGTTTTAGATAAAGGAGAAAGCTGACATAAGAGCTGGAATTAATGTGGATAGAGAGGGACAGATTGACTATCCAAATATGGTTGTTTTTAGGGTTTGTTAGGAGTTAGTACTTAAACTTGATTTTTTCAGAACCTAAAGGTTTTATAAACTTAATAATTTTTTTGAGAACCCAAATTAGCCTCAGAACCAACTAATGATAATAAAAGTAGTAGATCAATATGTTGATCAAAATGCCAGTTTATTAATTTACAGTTCTAGAGATTTAGGGCACTCCCAGCTTTCTGTCAGAAGATAACTGAGAGGCCACATTGGCATCAGAAGTTAATGAACACAGAGCACAAGGAAGTGTATTTTTTCTTCCTGTGTTGGGAAACACATGCTTTATTATTATTTTACTGTTCTAGTGATAGAGGTGAGAGACAGAGAAATTCTAGGCAGACGGGCATGTCCTGAGGAAACCTCACCTTCAAGTCAAATTAGCCTGAAACTCACAGCCCAAAGTGAGAACTAATATTCCTGTTTGCCTACCATCTCCTGATTGGTTCTTTCTGAGTAATGTCTTTTTACCAATCAAATGTTGCCTTTTCCAAAACTACCTACGGCCTGCCCCAGCCCCATCCTGTGCCGATAAAGACCCCAGACTCAACTTGTAGAGAGGAGAGATGCTGGACTTTGGAGAAGAGAGATGGCTTGACTTCAGGGAAGAGGTGGCCGGACTTCAGGAAAGACTAACTGCCCTTTCCGTCCCCTCTCCAGCTCCCCTCTCGACTGAGAACCATTTCCATCACTAAATAAAATTATCTGCCTTCACCATCCTTCAAGTATCTGTGCAACTGCATTCTTCTTGGACAAGAGCTTGGGAGCCACCAAGTGCAAGCACCCAAAAAGGCTGTCACACTGGCCCTTTGCCCTTGCTGGCAGAGGGCAGCCGCCCCACGAGACAAGGCAGGGAACCAACTGAGCTGTTAACACACAGCCATCTGCAGACTGTGTAGCTAAGAGAGCACGGTCACATTCCTTCTAGGCTTTGGGGTCACAGGCACCCCCACACAGAGCCTGCTCCTGCTGGCACCCAGAGTGGTCGGCATATCACCTTTTCTCCTGGCTCACCTGCCCATGGCCACACAGCAAGCCTCATGGAAACCATGAGCCACACTCACTCACTCACATGCTCCCTCTCACAAGGGGTTGAGTGCGGCAGGCTGAGTAAACAGGGAACACCTGTTACAAGTCTGATGAAGGGGCTGAGAAAAATCCTGAATCACTAGTAATAGAATAATTTTCATTTTTTTCCTTACTCCAGCAAACACAAAAATTTTGGTTGACTTCCTTTTCCACCTGCGTCGGCCTCTCAAAGTGCCAGGATTACAGGCATGAGCCGCTGCACCCAGCCTGACTTCCTTTTGCAAGACTCCAAGCAGAACAACCCCATTTCTTCCATTATCAAATTCTTGCTTTTGTTATGTTCATACATCTGAGTTAGGTTCCAGCTTTCACATCCAACTCCTACCTCCGTCTAGCCACTTTAATTAGGTTACTGCAGCCCTTGTCCTTCCTGCTTTGTCTGGAGAGAATAGATCTTAACCTTAGTTGTCAAATTTACTAGTTTTAAGCCTTGGAAATTCCCTTCATCTTACAGTTCAAAGGATACCACTTTACGAGACCTCCTACTTTATTACATTTCTAACTAAGAATAATTTAATTATTTTTCCCAAATACACCATCAATTTGGGGCAGGAGGAGAATTACATCAAATAATTTTTTCTTATAACTTTTAAACTAGGAGCAAACAAATACTTAAAAGACATTAAAAGTAAAGTCTAATTTTTAAAAGAAAGTTTAGGCCAGATGCAGTGGCTCACACATGTAATCCCAGTACTTTGGGAGGCCAAGGTGGGAAGATTGCTTGGGCTTAGGAGTTTGACACCAGCCTGGGAAACATTGCAAGACCTCATCTCTACAAAAAATTTTAAAAATTAGGTGAGCATGCTGGCATATGCCTGTAGTCCCAGCTACTCAGGTGGCTGAGTTAGGAGGATCACTGGAGCCCAGGAGTTCAAGACCAGGCTTGAGCAAGATAGGAAGACCCTGTCTCTAAAAAAAAAAAAAAAAAGAAAAAGAAAAAAAATTGTTTTAAATTAGTTGTGGTAGCTTGTGCCTGTAGTACCAGCTTCTCAGGAAGCTGAGGTGGGAGGATCGCTTGGGCCTGGAAGGTCAAGGCTGCAGTGAGCTATGATTGTACCACTGCACTCCAGCCTGGGTGACAGAGCAAGACGCTGTCTAAAAAAAAAAAAAGTGTTTGAAGAAGAAAAAGGGAGTTAAAAAAAGAATAGATTATGCAACATTGATCTCATCTGTCTTTGTTCTGCACCTGGAAGATAAGCTAATAATTGACATTATCAGTGCTAAATTGAACAGACTTTTTAGTTTTAGGAGCAGACTGCAGACCTAAAGGGCATTTGCATTGAAAGGGAGTCCCTAAGGAAGTCATTGAAGGCTATTACAGTAATTCAGCTGCCAGGCAATGTTGGCCTGGACTAAGATGTTGACTGCAGTAGGTCAGGTTCTGTGGAAGCAAACTCTGAGCCTGACATTTTTGCAGAGGAAGTTTATTGGGGTAGAGTGCTTTTAGGAACAATGTGTGTGAAGGAGTAAAAGAAGCAAATAGGGCACAGAAAGAAATTGCACTGCAATGCAGTTACTACAAAGGCTTTAGTCAAAATCCATGGGGAGGCCTGGAGCTAGATGGCCCTTCTAAGATGTCCTGGATTTTAAAAAGAGAGCTGAGGGTGATCCCTGGGAAGGGATAACTTCTGGAATCTAGGGGAACGATGACCTCCCTCCTGAAGTGGAATCTGGGCAGAACACCACAACATCCCCTTTAGTTCTTGCACTGCTCATCTCTGCATCTCTCCCTCCCCTACTACCCTTTTGAGAGTTCCCCTTGGCCATCACCTCTGCTAGTCAAGGTGGCTTACCTCCTGGTGTGACCCAAGCTGCCTCATCCTTGAGAGTTCTGGACCTCTAGTCCCCATGCCCTGATTCTCAGGCAGTGTCTGCTCTACATGGCTGACCGTCTTCCATTTAAATTGGGCAGGGGATTGCCATGAGACACCCTAGTGGATCACTTGGGTGCCAGATGTGTGCCCTCCTGCCCCCACTGTGTGACAGCCCCGCCTCCTCCTGGTGATCCTGGTGGGTTACCCCTGCCATGGTGGTAGCTTCTTTCCTTGCCTGCTTGTCTCTGCACAAGTGACTAGGTGACAGCGTAAACAGACCCAGGTTCAGCTGCTCACCATGCAAAAGCCAGACAGAGGGTTGGTGGGAGGAAAAGCAGGTTTAAATGGAGAGCCAGCAAACCAAGTGTCAGGCCTCTGAGCCTAAGCTAAGCCATCATATCCCCTGTGACCCGCACGTACACATCCAGATGGCCGGTTCCTGCCTTAACTGATGACATTCCACCACAAAAGAAGTGAAAATGGCCTGTTCCTGCCTTAACTGATGACATTGTCTTGTGAAATTCCTTCTCCTGGCTCATCCTGGCTCAAAAGCTCCCCTACTGAGCACCTTGTGACCCCCACTCTGCCCGCCAGAGAACAACCCCCTTTGACTGTAATTTTCCTTTATCTACCCAAATCCTATAAAACGGCCCCACCCTTATCTCCTTTTGCTGACTCTCTTTTCGGACTCAGCCCACCTGCACCCAGGTGATTAAAAGCTTTATTGCTCACACAAAGCCTGTTTGGTGGTCTCTTCACATGGACACGCATGAAATTTGGTGCCGTGACTCAGATCGGGGGACCTCGCTTGGGAGATCAATCCCCTGTCCTACTGCTCTTTGCTCCGTGAGAGAGGTCCACCTATGACCTCAAGTCCTCAGACCGACCAGCCCAAGAAACATCTCACCAATTTCAAATCCGGTAAGCGGCCTCTTTTTACTCTCTTCTCCAACCTCCCTCACTATCCCTCAACCTCTTTCTCCTTTCAATCTTGGCACCACACTTCAATATCTCCCTTCTCTTAATTTCAATTCCTTTCATTTTCTGGTAGAGACAAAGGAGACACGTTTTATCCATGGACCCAAAACTCTGGCGCCAGTCACGGACTAGAGAAGGCAGCCTTCCCTTGGTGTTTAATCATTGCAGGGATGCCTCTCTCATTATTCACCCAGGTTTCAAAGGTGTCAGACCATGCAAGGATGCCTGCCTTGGTCCTTCACCCTTAGCAGCAAGTCCCACTTTTCTAGGGGAGGGGCAAGTACCCCAACCCCTACTCTCTGTGTCTCTACCCCTTCTCCGCCTTTCTGGGGGGCAAGAAACCCCCAACCCCTTCTCCTTCACTCTTAGTGGCAAGTCCCACTTTTCTAGGGGAGGGGCAAGTACCCCAACCCCTTCTGTGTCGCTACCCCTTCTCCGCCTTTCTGGGAGGAAAAAACCCCCACAACCCCTTCTCCTTCCCCCTTAGCAGCAAGTCCCGCTTTTCTGGGGGAGGGGCAAGTACCCCAACCTCATAGCTGTGCGCCCCGATCCCTTATTTCTGCACCCCCACCTCTAATATCTCTGTGCCCTGATCCCTTATTTCCGTGTCCTGACCTTGTATCTCTGCGCCCCGACCCCTTTCCCGCTTTTCTGGAAGGTAAGAACCCCCGAACTGCTTCCCTCCATGTCTCTACTCTCCCTTTTCTTTAAACTTGCCTCCTTCACGATAGGCAACCTTCCACCCTCCATTCCTCCTCCTTCTCCCTTAGCCTGTGTTCTTAAGAACATAAAACCTCTTCAACTCTCGCCTGACCTAAAACCCAAATGCCTTATTTTCTTCTACAATGCTGCTTGACCCCAATACAAACTCGACAGTAGTTCTAAATGGCCAGAAAACGGCACTTTCGATTTCTCCATCCTACAAGACCTAAATAATTTTTGTTGAAAAATAGGCAAATGGTCTGAAGTGCCTGACGTCCAGGCATTCTTTTACACATCAGTCCCTCCCTAGCCTCTGTGCCCAGTGCAACTCGTCCCAAATCTTCCTTCTTTCCCTCCCGCCTGTCCCCTCAGTCCCAACCCCAAGCATCGCTGAGTCTTTCTAATCTTCCTTTTCTACAGACCCATCTGACCTCTCCCCTCCTCCCCAGGCTGCTCCTCGCCAGGCCGAGCTAGGTCCCAATTCTTCCTCAGCCTCCACTCCTCCACCCTATAATCTTTTTATCACCTCCCCTCCTCACACCTGGTCCCGTTTACAGTTTCATTCCGTGAGTAGCCCTCCCCTACCTGCCCAGCAATTTCCTCTTAAAAAGGTGGCTGAAGCTAAAGGCATAGTGGAAGTTAATGCTCCTTTTTCTTTATCAGACCTCTCCCAAATCAGTGAGTGTTTAAGCTCTTTCATCAAATATGAAAAACCCAGCCCAGTTTATGGCTCGTTCGGCAGCAACCCTGAGATGCTTTACAGCCCTAGACCCTAAAAGGTCAAAAGGCCGTCTTATTCTCAATATACATTTTATTACCTAATCTGCTCCCGGCATTAAATAAAACTCCAAAAATTAAATTCCGGCCCTCAAACCCCACAACAGGACTTAATTAACCTCACCTTCAAAGTGTACAATAATGGAGTAGAGGCAGCCAAGTAGCAATGTATTTCTGAGTTGCAATTCCTTGCCTCCACTGTGAGACAAACCCGTCACATCTCCAGCACACAAGAACTCCAAACGCCTGAACCACAGCTGCCAGGGGTTCCCCCAGAACCTCCTTCCCCAGGAGCTTGCTACAAGTGCCAGAAATCTGGCCACTAGGCCAAAGAATGCCCACAGCCCAGGATTCCTCCTAAGCCATGTCCCATCTGTGCAGGATCCCACTGAAAACTGGACTGTTCAACTCACCTGGCAGCCACTTCCAGAGCCCCTAGAACTCTAGCCCAAGGCTCTCTGACTGACTCCTTCCCAGATCTTCTCAGCTTAGCAGCTGAAGACTGACACTGCCCGATCACCTCAGAAGCCTACAAGACTATCACAGATGCTCTAGGTAACTCTCAC